>NC_000006.12:160222305-160373820 GCF_000001405.40 Homo sapiens | reverse complement strand
GGTTTTCCCCCTCACCGTGTAAACAAAGCCTCTGGGAAGTTTGAACTGGACAGAGCTCACCAAAGCTTGGTAAAGCCACTGTAGCCAGACTGCCTCTCTAGATTCCTCCTCTCTGGGCAGGGCCTCTCTGAAAGAAAGGCAGAAGCCCCAGTCAGGGGCTTATAGATAAAACTCCCATCTCCCTGGGACAGAGCACCTGGAGGAAGGGGCAGCTGTGGGCACAGCTTCAGTAGACTTAAACGTTCCTGCCTGCCAGCTCTGAACATAGCAGCAGATCTCCCAGCACAGCACTCAAGTTCTGCTAAGGGACAGACTGCCTCCTCAAGTGATTCCCTAACCACCATGCCTCCTGACTGGGAGACACCTCCCAGCAAGGGTTGACAAACACCTCATACAAAAGAGCTCTGGCTCACATCTGGTGAGTGCCCCTCTGAGACAAAGCTTCCAGAGGAAGAAACAGGTAGAAATCTTTGCTGTTCTGCAGCCTCCACTGGTGATACCCAGGCAAACAAGGTCTAAAGTGGACCTCCAACAAACTCCAGCAGACTTGCAGCAGAGGGGCCTGACTGTTAGAAGGAAAACTAACAAACATAAAGGAATAGCATCAACATCAACAAAAAGGACATCTACACAGAAACGCCATCTGAAGGTCACCAGTATCAAAGATCAAAGGTAGATAAATCCACGAAGATGAGGAAAAACCAGGGCAAAAATGCTAAAAATTCCAAAAGCCAGGACACTGCTTCTCGCCAAGGGATCACAAGTCCTTGCCAGCAAGGGAACAAAACTAGATGGAGAATTAGAATTACTTTGATGAATTGACAGAAGTAGGCTTCAGAAGGTGAGTAATAACAAACTCCTCTGAGCTAAAGGAGCATGTTCTAACCCAATGCAAGGAAGCTAAGAACCTTGAAAAAAGGTTATATGAATTGCTAACTAGAATAACCAGTTTAGAGAAGAACATAAATGACCTGATGGAGCTAAAAAACACAGCATGAGAACTTTGTGAAGCATACACAAGTATCAATAGCCGAATCAATCAACCAGAAGAAAAGATATCAGAGATTGAATATCAACTTAATGAAATAAATCATGAAGACAAGATCAGCAAAAAAAAGCATGAAAAGGAACAAACAAAGCCTCCAAGAAATATGAGACTATATGAAAAGGCCAAACCTACGTTTGATTGGTGTACCTGAAAGTGATGGGTAGAATGGATCCAAGTTGGAAAACACTCTTCAGGATATTATCCAGGAGAACTTCCCCAACCCAGGACAACAGGCCAACATTCAAATTCAGGAAATTCAGAACACCACAAAGAAACTCCTTGAGAAGAGCAACCCCAAGATACATAATCGTCAGATTCACCAAGGTTGAAATGAAGGAAAAAATGTAAAGGGCAGCCAGAGAGAAAGGTCAGGTTACCCACAAAGGGAAGTCCATCAGACCAACAGTGGATCTCTCTGTAGAAACCCTACAATCCAGAAGAGAGTGGGGGCCAGTATTCGACATTCTGAATGACAATAATTTTCATCCCAGAGTTTCATATAACAGACTTTAAACCAACAAAGATCAAAAAAGACAAAGAAGGGCATTACATAATAGTAAAAGATCAATGCAACAAAAAGAGCTAACTATCCTAAATATATATGTACACAATACAAGAGTACCCAGATTCATAAAGCAAGTTCTTCGAGACCTACAAAGAGATTCAGACTCCCACACAATAATAGTGGGAGACTTTACACTGTCATCCCACTTGTAAACAAACTTAAACAAATTTACAAGAAAAACACAACCCCATCAAAAAGTGGGCAAAGGATATGAACAGACACTTCTCAAAAGAAGACATTTATCCGGCCAACAAACACATGAAAAAAAAGCTTGTCATCACTGGTCATTAGAGAAATGCAAATCAAAACCACAATGAGATACCATATCAAGCCAGTTAGAATGGCAATCATTAAAAAGGCAGGAAACAACAGATGCTGGAGAGGATGTGGAGAAATAGGAACGCATTTACACTGTTGGTGGGATTGTCTTCCACCATTGTGGAAGACAGTGTAGCCATTCCTCAAGGATCTAAAACCAGAAATACCACTTGACCCAGCAATCTCACTACTGGGTACATACCCAAAGGATTATAAATCACTCTACTAGAAACACGCTGCACATGTATGTTTATTGTGGCACTATTCACAATGGCAAAGACTTGGGAACCAACCCAAATGTCCATCAATGATAGACTGGATAAAGAAAATGTGGCACATATACACCATGGAATACTATGCAGCCATAAAAAAGGATGAGTTCATGTCCTTTGCAGGGACATGGATGAAGCTGGAAGCCATCATTCTCAGCAAACTAACATGGGAACAGAAAACCAAACACCTCATGTTCTCACTCATAAGTGGGAGCTGAACAATGAGAACACATGGACATAGGGAGGGGAACATCACACACCAGGGCCTGTCAGGGGGTAGGGTACTAGGGGAGGGATAGCATTAGGAGAAATACCTAATGTAAGTGACAGGTTGATGGGTGCAGCAAACCACCATGGCACATGTATACCTATGTAACAGACCTGCATGTTCTGCACACATATCCCAGAACTTAAAGTATAATAATTAAAAAATAAAAAGACTTTCACAGCCTGCTCCTGGGTGGGAGGCATGTTGTTGTGCACTAAGGGCTACAGAGACTGGGGTTTGGTTTGCTAGAAGCTTCCAGGTGAGCCCCAGTGATGTGATACGTGAAATAGAATACAAAAGATAATCTACCAGAGAAACACAGAATGCGATAAAAGCACAGAGGAGGGAGAGGAGGTAAGCTGGGAGGTCTGTGTCAGGAAAGGCTTCTAGGCAGCATTTGAGCCAGGCCTTGAATAACTGATTGTATTTGGACACAAGAAATGAGGTAGAAGCAAAGATTACAGCAAAGAAATGAGAGGAAGCCTAGGACAGGATTACAATATCAGAAAATCAGACTTAAAAACTTAATGATAAGGGGCAACTTAATAGCTCTGCACAGTTTACAAAGCATTTTACTATCTATTATTTTATCTGATTCATGCAAAATATGAACTTAAGTCTCAAGACTCTTATTATATTTTATTTTTAGGAAGCCTGGACTGAAGGAACAAATGTGAAAATAGTTTAAGCTTTGCAAAATCCTACATGAAGTAATATGCTACTATTTATTACTAATGATTACAAAGTATTAGAATAGAGAGTATAGTATAACTAAATCCAATGTACATATTGTTTTATTAATGCCACATTCCCCTAGCCCAGCTTGAATAATAATAACATAAGAGCATTAACAATGCCTGGTTCTAACACTGGATTTCATGACTCTCTGTGATTACTTTTTAGAAAGATGGAGAAGCAATGAAGAGACATTCACGTGGATACCCACATATGCAGGGAAAGTGCCCACACATGTTTGGACTGGAGACAAACTACAAGAGTTGATGTCCTTGAGGAGGGAGACTGGGACTATCCAAAGATGGCATGAGTCCCCCACACATGCTCTTTCAAAACTTTGCCCCACCTTCATCAGGAAATGGCATCTAATTCCCTTTCCCTTGAATCCAGGAAGGGCTTGTGACTCTCCTGGAACTGACAGAATACAGCAGAAATGAGGCAGTGTGACTTCTGAGGCTAGGTCCTGAAAGGCAATGCAGCTTCTGCCTTGTGAGCTATTATAGAACACACCTGTGGGGCTCTGAACCACTTTGTAAGACGTCTGCAGCCACCATGCTAGGAGGAAGCCCAAGCTACACAGAGGTATCATGTGCAGTTGTTGCAGCTAACTGAGGGCCCAACTGACAGCACTACTCTCTGCCAAATCAGTAAATTAAGACACCCTGACGGCTCCTGCCCTGGCCATTGGGTCATCCCAACCTCTAAGCCTTCCTATCTGAAGCTGCACTTTGTGGAGCAGAAAGAAACACTCCTTCTTGTGCCTGTTCGGCATTCATGACTCTCATAATCTGTGAGTAAAAAAAAATGGTTGTTTTAAATCACTACGTTTTGAGATAATTTGTCGCACAACAATAGTAAGTAGAATTTCAACTTGATGTATAATGGCTTATTTCTCTGCAAAAAAATCTAAATAAAATACAACAAAATGCTAACATTTTTTCATTTGGGGAGGTGGGTACATGTGTTATATTTGTTAGACTTTTCTTTGAAAGCTTCCTTACTTTTATCTAACATGAAATACAAATTGTTGAAACTTCCAGTAAATTTACAAGTGCTAATGCTAAAAAATAATTCTAAAAGACCCACAAAAAAGATATTTACATTTTACTTTGTATATTTAAGGATTAAAAAATGGAGATGAAAATACAGAACTATAAAGTGGGCAATAAAGATCACAAGCAGGCATCACTGGAAGTGCTATAGTAATGGTTCTACACAGTAGCAAATTCCGATATTGTTTCCCATGACTTGTAAATGAGCTAAACATTTTCATAATAGTCTGGAAAATGTTAGCATGCTACAGCAGCATTATTTGTATGATATCCATTTTAGAATAACTATGGATTTTGGCCTGATAAAAACAGGCATCCAGGAATAATTTGTCAATACACTATGTCAGGCTTTGAAATTTGGGTTGTTTACAGATGGAGCATTACTGAAAAAATAAAGAACAATGGCAAAATGCAATCATTGATATGAAAATCCCCTGAAAGTATCTACTGTTCAAGTAGGCACTTGGAAATTATGGCATTGGAGACAATGAAATACATGATAGTTGACCTAAAATTCCTTCAACATTTCACTAAATAGAATGCTTTCTACAGACCAGCTCCAGATTTCAGATTCATGGCTCCTGGAAGTATGGGTGAATCAGAAGCCTGAAGCATGGCCAGTTGTGTCCATCTGTTAAATGTGTTTGGCTTTATCAGAGCTTGGACAGAATATGCAAGCAGTGAAATAAGAGATGTACCAGGGAGCACGAAATGAGCAGAACGGTGAAATATGAACCGGTGACTATGGCAGCTACCTGCGCCAGCCACAGGGGTCCCTACAGAGTAGGAATCCTATTCCTGGCTTTTGCACAGCTGACACTTTGGTGTGATACATAAGACCAGGGGTGAGGAGGTGAGTGAACAGCAACCTCAAGGTCATCAGAGACCCTGGGAAGCACAGATTCTGTGGTGTGGCGGGGATGATGGAGACCACACTAGGTTGAGGAGTGAGTGGAAGGTGAGAATGTAGAGATGATGAATGTGCCTATGACAGGGAATTACAGGTGCTCAGCTGCAGAGGAACACAGGGATAAGGGACACTGCTTTAAATAGCAGGTGAACTTAAGCAGGTTTAAGCGTGGACAGGTGAACTTAAGCAGGTTTAAGGGTGGACAAGCAAAGAACACCAGTGAAGGAGAGACTGAAGACAGGCATCAAGGGTGTGGTAGGCAGGTGGAAATCACCTGAGAAGCCAGGAGGGGTGGGGACCAGAGCACAGGTGGAAAATAAGCTTTCAACAGGGGGCAGTATTATAACTCTTCTGCTGTGGGGTTAGAAGGAAGCTATGGGAGCAGAGATAGAGAAGTTGATTGTCCTGGTGCAGGACATCGAAGAAGCGTATTATTCCAAGTTTTCTATTTTCTCAGGGAAGTGGAGAGTGAGTGGTTTGCTAAGAGTAGGGGGAGAGGGTATGAGTGGGGAGGGGCAGGTTGGAAGTTGGCAGAGAACAGAGTCTGGAGAGCCAGAGTGGACGTCAGGACACTCAACATGACTATCAGGCAATATCAGGACACCGGGAACTAGAGAGGACAGAGCAGCATGTACTGGGAGTGGTGTCTCCAGCAGTGCTCTCAGCCCAGGCAGGCCAGTGGGAAGGGCAGTGGGGCCACTGGAAGATATGGGCTGAAGAACTGGGCCAGAGACCTAGGCTGGATGGAGGAGGAAGAGGAGGTAGACTCAACAGAGAGGGTGCAGGGACATTATGGGTGAAGGTAGCTGAATGGCATGAGGCTGGCACCGACTACAGAGGTACAGGGGAGGGACCTGGGCCTCTTGTTCATGGCAGTGTCCCAGCACCCGTAACAGTGCCCCATCATCCATGATGTGCCTGGATGCCCTGACCACTCTGTACTACCTCACAAATGAGCATATTAGTGCATTTCAGGCATGGCCCAAGGCAGGGCTTCCAGGATGACAAGAACACCACTTGGAGACAGCAGCGGAAGACACTGAGCAGCAGCATGGCCTGTCAGGGCAGAGGAAGTTTCAGTTACCTTCAAAATCTGCACATGGAGGTGCTATCAATGCCTGATGGGGGTATGTGCTATTTTTATAGCACTTGAAAGTTGCAATACAGGTATGCAAGTTGCAGTGGAGGGGAAAATGCTTCAGTAAAAGAAACCACGTGATATGGTTTTGCTGTGTCCACCCAAATCTCATCTTGAATTCTAGTTCCCATAATCCCCATGAACTTGGCGGAAGGTAATTGAATCATGGGGGCAGTTACCTCCATGCTGCTCTTCTCATAATAGTGAATGAGTTATCACGAGATCTGATGGTTTTCTAAGGAGCTTTTCCCCCTTCTGCTCAGCACTTCTTGCTGCCACCATGTGATGAAGGACATGTTTACTTCCCCTTCTACCATGATTGTAAGTTTCCTGAGGCCTCCCTAGCCCTGCAGAACCATGAGTCAATTAAACCTGTTTCCTTTATATATTACCCAGTATTGGTTATATCTTTATTAGCAGCATAAGAATGGACTAATATAGTAAATTGGTACTCCAGAGAATGGGGTGCTGCTACAAGGATACCCAAAAATGTGGAAGCAACTTTGGAACTAGGTAACAAGCAGAGATTGAAACAGCTTGGAGGGCTCAGAAGAAGACAGGAAAATGTGGAAAAGTTTGGAACTTCCTAGAGACTTGGAGGGCTCAAAAGACAGGAAGATGTGGGAAAGTTTGGAAGTTCCTAGAGACTTGTTGAATTACTTTGACCAAAATGCTGATAGTGGACAATGGAATCCAGGCTGAGGAGGTCTCAGCCCTAAGCATTGGCAGCTTTCATGTGGTGTTGGTCCCGGGGGTTGGCAGAGGACAAGAATTGAGGTTCGAGAACCTCCATCTAGATTTCAAAGGATGTATGGAAACACATGGATGTCCAGGCAGATGTGTATTGTGGGGCACAGCCCTCATGAAGAACCTCTGCTAGGGCAGTGTGGAAGGGAAATGTGGGGTCAGAGCCCTCAGACAGAGTCCCTACTAGGGTACTTCCTGGTGGAGCTGTGATAAGAGGGCCACTGTCCTCCAGAACCCAGAATGGTAGATTCACTGACAGCTTGCACCGTGTGCCTAGAAAAGCCACACACTCAATGCCAGCCATGAAGGCAGCTGGGACGGGGCTGTATCCTGCACAGCCACAAGGGCAGAGCCGTCCAAGGCTGTGGGAGCCCATCTCTTGCATCAGTGTAACCTGGATGTGGCTTGTAGCACCTTTATTTTGGCCAATTTTTCCCATTTGGAATGGCTGTATTTACCCAATGCCTGTATCCCCATTGTATCTAGGAAGTAACTAAATTACTTTTGGTTTTACAGGCCCATAGGTTGAAGGGACTTGCCTTGTCTGAGATGAGACTTTGGACTTGGACTTTTTAGTTAATGCTGGAATAAGTTAAGAATTTGGGGGACTGTTGGGAAGGCATGATTGTGTTTTGAGATGGGAGGACATGAGATTTGGGAGGGGACAGGAGTGGAATGATATGGTTTGGCTGTGTTCCCACCCAAATCCTATCTTGAATTGTAGTTCTCATAATCCCCATGTGTCATGGGGGAACCTGGTGGGAGGTAATTGTGTCACAGGGGTGGTTACCCCATGCTGCTGTTCTCATGATAGTGAGGGAGCTCTCATGGAATCTCGTGGTTGTCTAAGAGACTTTTCCCCCTTTTGTTCAGCACTTCTCCTTGCTGCCTCCATGTGAAGAAGGAAGTGTTTACCTCCCCTTCCACCGTGATCGTAAGCTTCCTGAGGCCTCCCCAAACATTCTGTACTGTGAGTCAATTAAACCTCTTTCCTTTATAAATTACCCAGTCTCAGGTATGTCTTTATTAGCAGCATGAGAACAGGGTAATACACCATGTCAGTGAGTAGTAGCTGAATTTTAAAGAACTGAACTTCTGATGATTTTCTTTAAAGAAAGCCACATTTTTTGTTCAAGTGTAAGGTTAGCCATCATCATCACAATGAAAAAAATCACTAGCTAATACAAGCCTCCTTCTAGACCAGTGATCCTCAAAGTGTGGTCCCAAGACCTGTGACAACGGCAACATCTGGGAACTGCAAGTGTTAGAAATGCAAATTTTCAGGCCCTACCCCAGACCCATTGGATCAGAAACTCCAGTGAGGCCCAGCAGTCTGGTTCCACAAGCCCTCCATGTGATTCTGACATCTAAAATCTAACAGCCCTCAAGTCAGGTGGATTGGGACAGGACATTGGTTTAGGGTGTGGCAGACCTTGCAAGGAAACAATTTTTCATGACATCTTAACTTGGGTGAGTCACAAAACTGCTCCCAGCCTCAATTCCATCCTTGAAAATAGGGGAAAATAATGACTTACCTCATGAGGCCATTTCTGATGCTGAAGACAGTTTAACATTTAAAAACACCTGGAATGTATCTAGCTATAATGTCTTGTGACTAGAAATTTTCAGTAGTCAAAATAAACCCAGAGAATACATTATCTCACACAGATTTTAAAAACTTAATGGTTCATGAATCAAGTAAGTGTATTTTGCTACACAGTAAAAAAAATTATTGATTTTACTATGTAAATATACTTACTATGTAAGTGTATTTTTTTACATAGTAAAAAAATCATTATATTGATATAAAGCAATATAAACTCAATAAGGTAAAAGATAATGTGTACACTTTAACAGAGCATAGCTATTAAAAGCTGTAAGTCAGATTACAACCTAAATGAAGCCATTGCCTTTTCAATTATTCATATGGAGGAAGGTAATTGTAGGTTTCTTATACCATTTCAGCCTGATTTATCATCTGATCCTGCTCTGAGCGATGGAGTCCTTTTGTTACAACAGTTTCCTAACTGGGGAGTCCCCTCTGGTGCCAGAGGCTTGATTCTTCTCTAAACAGCCCCCTCTTTTCAGAGAGTCCTTTCCTTCACGTGGACAACTAGGTAACAATTTTGCTTAAGAGATCATCAATAGGTACTTTTACTAACAATAGGTTTTGATAGCCTCCCTTTACTGTGCCTTACTGAGAAACGATTTGGTGCCTTTTCCTTTACTGAAAACCCAATCCAATTTGTATACTTTAATTTCTGCATCTTTGACTTGTTACTCAGAAATCCCATCAAGATGAACAATATGACTGCAGTTATTGTCAACGCTGCACCCATCTACTCATCTGTGTCACATGTGGTGCCACCATGAAGGCTGCTTCACACCTCCTGGCTCTGCATTTGGCAAAATAATATCTGAATTAGTTAAGAAGAAAGCGTAAGCAGCAGTATTGAAAAGCTCTCACCTTTAGGGCCCCTATGCAGCCAGTCTTTACCTTCCAACAACCCATCTACCACATGGAGTGTACAAATATGGTTGAAATCATACAGTTTGCACAAATGTATAACCCAGACTTCTTCTTCCTTAATATGTCATCAACATTTCTGTGTTATTTTATAGGTATTGTTTCCTCATCCCTGTAGTAGCTATTTCAAATGGCTACACCACATTTATTTAACCATGTTCTCCCTCTATTATACATGCAAATAATTCACAGCTTTTCATTATTATACATTTTATGAATCATTTTTCTACTTGTGGGTCAGTTAGGGTGACCAATTGTCCCAGTTTGTCTGGGACTCTCCTGGTTTTAATACTGAAAGTTCGTATCCCAGGAAACCCCTTCACTCCCAGCAAGTGGGGACAGCTGGTCAGCCTGGGAGAACCCCAGATGCAAGCAGAAGAAAGTGGGGCCGGCATGCTGAACAGTCATCAAGGAAAAACCCCACAGACAAAGGCGGTCTTGAAGGCAGCCCCTGTGCTGGGGGCAGGGACATGTCTAAGTAAGGTTTATGGGGCTGCCCCTTCAGGCGGACAAAAGATGGTGGCAGGGGATGCAAGACATGCAGGCGCTTGGAAACAGAGAAGCAGCATTCTGCGGAGTGTGGCCTGGGAGGATTAGGAACAGGGTCTATGCTCTGTCCTGTGGGGAGTGGGCAAGGATGGTGGTGGCTTGCTGGGACTCACCCCAGGCCACAGGAAAACCCCAACCCAGCCCCATCCAGCGTTCAGAGCCAGCTGCAGGTGGATCTAAGCTGGGCACACGCCTGCCAGGGGTGACAACCGGAGCCTGAGGCCTCACCCAGGAGGGCCCCGCTCTTGTGAACAGGCTGCCTGCACCTGGGAGAAGCTCTAGCCCCCAAAGAGGGGCACGGGGCCTGGACTCTGAGCTTCCTGCCTCACAGGCGTGCCGGTCACGTGGGACTCATGAGGCCTTCGCGATGGGATCTTCCTAGACAAGGGGTCACGACAGAAGCGAGACTAGGCCCAGCAGGGGCCAGCTGCGACCTCTGCTCCGCTTCCAGGTCACTTCCCTCACCTGGAACTCCCACCTGCTCTTCCAGCCCTTGTTCATCCCAGCTCCTGCTGGACCATCGCCCCCTTCCAGCCTCTTCTCGGACCTTCCACCTGGCTTAGGCTGAGACCCTCTCTTTCTGCCCCTCGGCAACACTGTGCGCATTGGGGCGCGATGCCCCGCGTCTGCCTGAAATAGCTGCCCGAGTCCCCGGGAGCCCAGCCCAGCCTCAGCTCTCGGCGGGCTCCGGGGCTGCCTGCACTCAATTAGAGACAACTCTGTCGGCCCAAAGGAGACCCTGGCAGGAACGAAGTATCCGTGGGTCCCTGGATGGGACGTTCTCGTGCACCCTCCTGGCTCCTTGGCCGCGGCCCAGCCCTGTTGGAGCTCTGAGCGCGCGGCTGCCGGCACCACCTCGAGCTCGGGGCTCCTGCAGCACTGCTCCCGGGGGCAGCCTAACGCGCTGGTGCCGCCTGGGTCCCCTCCGGCGCTGGAGCGTGGGGGAACCCACAATGCCAGAAGGCTCATGCCCTGGACACAGTCTTCCTCCTCTCCCCCTCCGCACCGTCTGGCCCGCCCCCACCCGCTGGGGACCGGCCTCTCTGGACATCCCGCGGTGTCCCTCAGTCCCCTCCCTGTGGCTGCTCCCCAGAGAGTCTAATGCATGAAACAGCTCCCACGCCCTCGCTTCAGCCTCTGCTTCCCTGGAAACTCACATGGAGACACTACCATACCAAAGGAACCAAAAAGACAACAACGGGAAAGGGTGAAGGAAAAAGGAAAGCGTTTGGTTTCAGGCAGGCCTGCGCCTACCCATAAAACTGCCAGAGCAGAGTCTCGCAGAGGGTTTTCTACACGTCTGCTACCTTCTCTTCCTAACCAGGAAGCTGAAGTGCTCCTTGAAGACAGAAGCAATCCCTGAAATTCTGAACCTGGGAACACAGAAAAGCATTCTACAAACTGTGGATTGCCCAAAAGAAAATCTGGGGAATGCAACTACTAAATTTGGTGATTGAATTATTGGATTAATACCAGGCTTTTCAGATGGAAACTGAGAGGCATCTTCCATGTGACGTGTTCTGAGGTCGCAGCATCCCTGGGTGACCCCTGAAATCTGTGCATTGTTCATCCCTGTTTTGCAGCCAGGTGACACCCCCAGGTAAACAGCTCCTGGGAAGGCTTGGGTCAACTGTCCTAAGGGGATCAAGGTATCTGCAGTATTAGCACACTTAGGATGTATTTAGCCTGCAAGGTACCAGTAACATGCCACAGGTTACTTTAAACGATGTTTCATTGTATTCTCAAGTTACCACACAGAAACTGACCTAGTATTAGAAGGGGAAAGCTCCCCAGACACACACATTTCTTCATGTGCTTAGTCGCCTTTTGGAGAAGTTTCTTCTCATGAAAACTATCTGTATCCTTTGCTGATTCCTCTGCAAGACTTGCTATCTTTTACTTGTTGATTTACAGAACTTCTTTTCCTGTTCTAGAGATGTCAGTTAATTACTTGTTGGTTCAGACATTGCAATTTCTTTTCCAAGTCTCCTATCCTGCAGCTCCAGATTCTGGACAAATTATCTAATCTCTCTGTACCTTCCTTTCCTCCTCTAAAAAAAATCTACAAAAATGGCACATGCCTCATGAAGTGGGTAGGGATTAAGTGAGTTGAACACATGTCAAGTGTCTACAACAGTGTTGAGCACACAGTGAACATTATTGAAGCCTTTGGCTTCAATATGCATTGTACAATATGCATTGTATAACTCCCATAACGACCCTTGATTAGAGTAGCATGGCTCTACTCAGTATCATTGTCATCACTTAATTAACTCTGCTGATGGTATCTGTCATGAGGCAGAAATCTGATATAATCTAGATAATCCATTTTTGGCTTATACTTTTCTTTAAAAAGTCTTTCCCTGACCTTGTCATGTTTCTCTGTATGTTCCTTTGTTAATATTACCTTTTACTTTGACATTTAAGTCTTCAATTCACCCTGAGTCCACCTTTGTACATGGTGATAGGCAGATTGATCATTCTCCATATCTGATGAGTCATTACTTTTCTCAACATCAGTTAGCCAACAATCCATCCTCTCCCCATGGAGTTATGAGGCCATCCTTATTGTATATGATGTTCCCCTGGGTGGAGTCAGTCTCCAAGTGCTCTGATCTTTTCACTGGTCCACTTGTCTGTTCTTGTTCCAATACCATGCTGTTCTGATTACTTTGGCTTGGAATTTCACTTTAATTTCTGGTAGAGGAAGCCCTCCTCTTACTCCCTACCCCTTCTTTTAGAATGATTTACCTGCTTCTGGGCCTTTATTCTTCCATATAAATATTAGAATGACTCCCTTGGCCTCTTCATTCTTCTAACTGATGACACATAGGAACATGGATCCCAGCTCCATGATCACTCTATATCTTGTCACCAAGTCAATAATAGGTTAAGGTAAAAAAGACTACATTGGTTGGGGCGGGGGGGAGTTAATAAATACAAATCATATATCAGCATTAACTTAAATGCTTTTGCAAAGGGAAATAGAGCGTGGACCTTCCTGAGACTGGTTTAGGAAAGGTGGCCTTGAAATGCACTTTCTTGGATAATGCTTTCCGGGTCAGGACAGTACTTCAATTTGACTAATGCTGGACTTTAAAGCTTTTCTAGTAGTTGTTGTTTGTTTATGTTCTTAAGAGAAAGAGGTTTAATAAAGAGAAACTGAGAGAATGAAAAGGGAGATCAATATAGACTAATTCAAATAATTTGTACCTTGTATATATCCTTTTTTTAAGACAGAGTCTTGCTCTTGTTGCCCAGGCTGAAGTGCAATGGCGTGATTTTGGCTCACTGCAACCTCCACCTCCTGGGTTCAAGTGATTTTCCTGCCTCAGCCTCCCAGGTAGCTGGGATTACAGGAGCCTGCCATCACGGCTGGCTAATTTTTGTATATTTAGTAGAGACGGGGTTTCACCATGTTATCCAGGCTGGTCTCGAACTCCTGACCTCAGGTGATCCACCCACCTTGGCCTCCCGAAGTGCTGTGATTACAGGCATGAGCCACTGTGCCCGGCCGCTTGTATGTGTCTTTTATACTTTGACAGGTTATATGGTTTAAAAAAAGAAAAATCATTTAAGTGAAATGTCTATGAAAGTTTAGTAAGGAAAAATAATTGTATAGCATGCTATCAAATAAGAATTGAAAACTATTATAAAAAGAATACTATGATTATAAATATTTGAAAAGTATATGAAATATGTTTTTACTATTCTTCTAATAGTTGTAATAAGATAATGAGTTAAAGGTCATGCTGTACCAATGTGAAATCCAAAAAAGGAGTCATAATTAATTTTTCTTGGACTCTGTTTACAAATGTTAATACAGTTCTTTACAGAAAATCTTCACATATAAAAAAATCACTGTTCAAACATAGACTATCTGTTGAAATGTAAAGTATATAGAATATAGGTCAACAGCTTCCATTGTGAATGCTTCTTGAACAAGGTTGAGTTTCAACCCTATCACCAATTTTCTGTTGTTTTTATCTCCTGGTTTTGTGATGTATCAAATCCAGAAGGCTAGATTTAATTACAGCTTTCTATTGCTTCATAAAATATCCTGTTTGATGTAGACCATTAATTAAACTGCAGGCTCTCCTTTTGGCCAAAAAATCCAGATGCTAAGATGTCTTTTTTGATATTTCCCTTTTTGCTGAACACCATAAGCTCTCTTTCCCTAATTTTAAATTTAGTATGATTGATTATTAAATGTACTCTGTTTTCTGGTAATTAAGGAAGAAAACAAGTTTCTAAGCAGGAAGTGAGTATTGATAACTGTAAGAATAAATTTTTGTCCCCATTGGCTATTAAACTACTTTCGTAAATTAAGTTTTAGTGTCTATTCAATGTTATGAGAATTGGAATGCTCAATATATAAAGCACTTTAGCCCAAATTTACTTCAACCCTAACCTGAAGCTCAACATTCATAATTAGTGCCCCACCACAACTGCTGTGTCTTCATTTCATAGATTTGGATTTGGGTTGGGGGAGTATTTTCTTTGAGGTCAGATTCTCACAGCAACACAAGCAAACTGTGATCTGATGTTTTCATTGCCTATAGGACCATTGCAACTGCCCACAAACAACATAAGGTAAATTTGCCTTATTGACTCAACTAGAATACAGGCATGAGCCAGATGGGTGCCTTTCTAACACAGCACCTTTGGGGCACTTTTGTTGTTCATATTTATTGAAGGATTTCCAGGCTCATGAGAAAACATGCGATGGAGTTCAAGCCCTGCAGCCCCACAGCTGAGTCTTCAGCCCTCACTGAGCTCTGGTCTAGTCCTGTCCTGGGATTTCCCGGTTTTAGGAAAGTCCAGGGCTCTGTCCCAGCGTCCCTCTGCTCAGACTGCAATTGGAAAGAAGTGTGGGGTTCTGAGTGAGTCCACATCCAGCAACCCCAGACTAGACCAGGCAAGGGGAGGACTTGGGCACCACAGTTAGTGACAAAGAGCAAGAAGGAGGGAACTGGCATGTGCCCAGGACCTTCCACATGCTCAGCGGTTCCTGCATGTTTCTCATTTGTCCCCAGAGCCACCCGGATGGGGGGATTGTTCACTCTATATCACAACTGAATCCACGGGGGCTTGAGAAATCTTGCCAAATCTGGTAGCTCCGACCTCTACCCTGGGCCTTTCCCTAGTTTTCATTACTAAGCTCCAGTTTATACCAGCTCCAGAGAGTGGACCCTGGCCACGTCCTTAGTATTGGAATCTTGGTGCCCTGCCTAAAGCACGCTTCCCTCAGCCCTAGGGGCTTGCCATTTGCCTGAATTTCCAGGCCCAAGCTGCCTCTCTGAGTCAACTTTCTCAGTATCTGTTGTCAGCATCTATGATCATCACCAGCTACTTACATATCTCAGACAACAGGACAAGCACTTTGAATGCCTTATTTACCTAAGTCTCCCCACTAAAACCAGGAAATCTCAGGACTGGGCTAGTCCAGAGCTCAAAAACCCTCAAATTCAGCCATTTGCTTGCATCCACAAAACTAGGAAGTCTACGTTCTTAGCCACCTATTTGCCTTAGCAATACACTACACTAAACCAGTTTGGATCTAAAATTTGATAATTTTTTCACAAAACTCTGCAACAATAAATTGTTATTATCTAATGATCTCTGGAGTTGATAAATAGACAATTTTATTTGGTTTTATAATGTATTCAACTTGGTTGGAATTAAAATAAAAATCATTATGTATGCTCTATTAGATACAGACTGGATAGGGAATTGTAGCAATCTTACAAGGATGCTAGGAGCTGACAAGAGATGTGATAAATTTGTCACATAATTTCCCACTAACTGCCACACAGGAAGATCAAGAACCTCTGTGGAAAAGGTTCCTGGAACACTTTCTTACACTCTAATAACTTGGACATTTATTTATTTGATTTCTTTAAAGTTGATGCCAAATTAATCTGAATTAGTTTCAATCTAATTTTCTCCTCTACCCTGGGTAGTTAATGTTTTTAACTATCCAGGTGACTTCTCTATGGGTATTTTCTTTAAGATACTCATTTGTGAACAATTAAAGGGCATTCATTTCTCAACAGATATTTGCAGTGCATTGCTTTTTAAAACGTCATCAATATTAAACGTGCAGGCTGTTTTCACCACAACCACTTAATCCCCATAAATGTGCTACAAACAGTTTTTAGTATAGGAGCTCCTGGCACCTTGTCCCTTCGGTTTCTGTCTCAGAAGCATCAGCTTACGGCGTCCCTCCCCACTAGCCTGGAAGCACACATGTTGTCTTTCATTTTGTGCTGTCGATTGCCCAAAGCTTCCCGTTGGCAGAAGTGTCATGAAATCAGAGCCATCCTGTGTGTATGCTAGGTGGACGCAGCAACTGGGAAAGGCTTCTGGGACGCTTTTCCATGTTGGGACCAGTGGTCTCTGTTAATGGAAAGCCAAAGACTTGCTTATCACTTGGTTATCTCCACTGCTGGTGCCCTATAGCAGTCCTATGACAGAGGTCACCTGCTCTCCCAGGACTGAATTTGAAAGCAGAATAGGTGCCTTTGTTTCTCAGGTCCAGGCTTGTGCCTACCCTTCCTCCATCCAGTGGTTTCCACTATGCTCACAGTCAAGGACAGCTCCCCTCCTTGGACTCTACAGGGCACTAGAATCTAGAGCAGATGTTAAGGAAGGTGGGATGGATGCCTGCCCCAGAATTGTTTAAATTACATTTATTTATTCACCTTCTTCTAAGCCCCTAAACTTCACCCCTCACTAATTTTCTCTATTATCACACAAGTACCAGCCACAGAGTTATTTTGCTTTATTACCAACACGAAGAGAAATAACAGCATGGTAACCCTTAAAAAGCTGTTACTGATCTCACCCAGATAAAACAGTATTAGCCATGATTTGACAAGCTCAACAGTCATTTATCATTTTAAAAAGCCACACCAAAGACCATTAAAACTTTGCTTTTTCCTCACAGAATATAAATACATGTCCTTTCTTGGTTATGATTTAAGAGGGGGTGGGGAAAAAACCGAGGCAGAATGTTGGAAAGGTTTTAGTTTGTTTTGGAAGGTAGGTGGTGTTTGCTCCCCACTCCATAGCCATGAAGGGGACAGCGCTGCACCCTGGGAGCTGCTCAGCCCAGGCCCTTCAGTGCTCCTCCCTGCACCGGGCCTTGCACCTGTGCCCAGCTGCCCTGGAGCAGGCTCGATTGATGACACAGACTACTGTGTGGTGCCAGGACAGCTGGGAAAAGTCTCTTCTGCACAATGGACGTCAGCACATTAAAATTATGGCCCCAAAGAGCCAGCAGTTCTATTCCTTCCTGTCCCTTTCATGTTCCAGGTCACACCCCCTACATTAGGATTCTGCGGACACAGACCCCATGAGCAGATAGGAGTCAAGTAAAGTGGAGGCCTGTTTTCCTCCTGCTCCAGAGGTCTGCGGGCGGCCATGGCCGCCGATGATTGTTCACCCTGTGACTGATCACACCTCATGGATGCAAGGCAGAAGATGATGAAGGCGGAGGATGAGGCAAGGAATCGGCGTTAGGAGTCAACAGGAAGCAACACCATCGGTAGAGGGCCTGGGTTAATCTCTGAAAGCCAATTCCAGGGTTGGCCTAGCCATGGTCATAAAAAGCATTACACGTGCCAAGGAATCCCTTTCTCTTTCATTCATTAATTTAATCACAAATATTTGCCAAACACTGCGTTAGGCTAGGAGGGCAGAGCGCCGGCCCTCCAGCACCTCAGAGTCTGATGAGGCAGTGAGCACAAGATGAGTAGAGGGAAGGCAGCTAGACAGATAAAGGAAGCCAAGCCCAGCCCTGGGTAGAGGCAGCAGTGGGGAAGGTGTGTCTGGAATTGGTGTGTGTAAAGGTACAAAACGGAACAGCCTCATGAGAAAAGACAAGTTTTTTGTTGTTGTTGTTGTTGTTGTTGTTTTGAGACAGAGTCTCTAACTGTCGCCCAGGCTGGAGTGCAGTGGTGCGATCTCAGCTTACTGCAAGCTCCGCCTCCCGGGTTCACGCCATTCTCCTGCCTCAACCTCCCCGGTAGCTGGGACTACAGGCAGCCGCCACCATGCCTGGCTAATCGTTTTTGTATTTTTTTTTTTTTTAGTAGAGACGGGGTTTCACCGTGTTAGCCAGGATGGTCTCGATCTCCTGACCTCGTGATCTGCCCACCTTGGCCTCCCAAAGTGCTGGGATTACAGGTGTGAGCCACCGTGCCCGGCCGAGGAAAGACAGGTATTTTGAGGAAAGGAAAGGAAACAGCGCACACAAGAGCCCAAGGGGAGGACAGCTGTGGCACATGTCCCAGGGTGACTGCCTGGAGAGTGGGAGCCCCGGGGGCTAAGAGAGGGAAAAGCCTCTATAGGCGGAGACATGGGGTGGAGGCACAGAGACCTTGTGTACCAGACCTAGGGGAGGATGCTCTTAGAGGCACCAGCCTCCATACCATTTTGTCAGGTGCCCACAGCCTCGTGACCTGTGCCCTGCCAGGAAGCACACTAAGATGCTGTATGAGTCAGAGCAGCCTAACAGGAAGAGCTGCAACAAGCAGTCTCCCAAGCCTCAGTTGTGTAACACAATAAAGCTTATTTCTTATTCGCAATCCCATATTCCTGTGCAGATGAATTGGTGTGGAGGGGAGCTGTGGGGCTCCTGCCTGCCTCGCATGCCTCCAGGAACGCATATCCTTCCGTGTAAGAGTTCCACCATCCTCCGGGGACTGCAGGAGGAAGGTTGCTCCGGCTCCAGGCTTAGCAGTTCCACATTCACTTCCCCAACATCACTGACCAGGACTCAGACACGTGGCCTCTCTAGCTTCAAGGGAAGCTGGGAAATATGACCTACCTGTGGGGTCCAGTGGGAAAGTATCGGTATTCTCAGCCTTTAGAGCAAATTAGTGTCCGAGATATTTTATTTTATTTTTTAGAGACAGGGTCTTCCTCTGTCACCCAGGCTGGAATACAGCAGCACAGTTCGACCTCCTGGGTTCAACCTTCTGAGTAGATAGGACTACAGGCATGCATCACCACACTCGGCCAATTTTTTAAAAATTTTAAAATATTTTTGTATAGTTGGAGTCTCAAAATGCTGCCTAGGCTGGCCTCAGACTCCTGGGATTACAGGCATGAACCACCACAACTGGCCAAGGCTTTGACTCTTTATATTTAAGGCAAATTTATCAGTGATTTATTATGCTAGACCAGGGATCAGCAAACTTACAGCTCCAGGGTCAAATCTGGCCCATAGCCTGTTCCTTCCCTCCCTCCTGACTCCCACCTGGCTTAAGGGTCTTTATGTGTTCACAGGAACCAACTGTTCTGAGCACCACCTATGACCAGGCACTTTGCAAGCATATGTCAAGCCAATTGCTAAGGCAGGCATTCTTGTACCCATTCTAGTGCTGAGGAAACTGAGGCTCAGGCAGATGCTCAGTTGACTTGCCCTTCAAGTTAATAGAGGAGCTGGGATTTAGGACAAGATTTATCTGACACCAAAGGACATGTGTATTCTTTCCACTCTACTAAGATGTCAATGCCAAAAATAACCCGTGGGTCCAAAAGTACAGATGTCTCTGCAACATCTGTTGGAGTCCCCTACCTTTGCCCAAAGCTCCTTTCTAAGGTTTACCAAGACTCCCAGAAAGTGTGGTTCAGCTGTGGGCTTCCCCCGCTCCCCAGTTAATTCCAGGATTTTATTATCAGTTGCCCATCCCTGGAGAGCTCAAAGCTCTCTGAAAATAAACAGCAGCATTTCATCTGATAAGATTTGGGATACCTGTCTGAGGATAAAGGGATAATGTTCCCCTCTGAGAGTCTCCAGGGTGTGCTTGGTGGAACTGGCAATTCTCTCCCAGTCATTATATTCTCATCATGCTCCTCATTAAGAAACACCCAGCTTGTCTCTCTGTGTGGTCCATGGACCATCTGAAAAGGGCCCTAGATGTTTGTGAAAAAGGAAAATTCCTGAACTCCAACCCTCGTCTTTTGATTCCAAACCCTGTGTGTGCGACCCGAGAATGCACACCAACCACTGCTCCTGAGGGCACAAAATAAATGGGTGCAGAGAAAATAATGAAGATGAGAGGGTGTGAGAATAGAACATCTTTTCCCTCATATTTTCCTCTTGGACTCCTCCTTGTACTCAGAGGTTGAGGTTAAGGTCAATGTACTTTCTGCCCTGGTTCACTCCTCTGTCCCATCAGAGGGTGGTACCCTTTATCACACCCACAGCCACTGTCATCACATTATCGCTGCAATTTTCCCTGCCAAGCTTCACGCTGTTTTGAGAAAGACTCGTGTATCTTTGTATCCCCAGCCTAGCCCAGTGCCTAGAATAAAATAAATGCTAAATAAACTTCAGCTGAACTGATGTTGATAATCCAAAATATCAGCTGCCAGAGAGGAGCAGGAGATACTCTTGCACATTCTCATAATGAAGGTCCTTATTGTAAATATTTTCCTTGTTCTGAGGTCCAGAAAGCATTGCTGCATGAATCTGTTTGGCCATTCTGCTGCCTAGACCAAGAATCAGACACCTAGTGGGGTGGCTGTTCACTCATTAGAGTCCTGCTTTCACTCCATTAAAAATAAACTATTAGGCTGGGTGCAGTGGCTCATGCCTGTAATCCCAGCACTTTCGGAGGCCTAGGCAAGCAGATCGCCTGAGGTCAGCCTGGCCAATATGCTGAAACCCTGTCTCTACTAAAAATACAAAAATTAGCCAGGCGCGGTGGCGGGTGCCTGTAATCCCAGCTACTCAGGAGGCTGAGGGAGGAGAATTGCTTGAACCCGGGGGGCAAGGTTGCAGTGAGCTGAGATTGCACCACTGCTCTCCAGCCTGGGTGACATAGCGAGACTTTGTCAAAAAACAAAACAAAACAAAAACCTATTACACTATTAAAACACTTTTGTCATCAACAGAAAGGACTAGTTACTCTGAGGGACAAGGGCCAACATAAAATTTTTGTTGAATTGTTGATGTTTCAGAAAGTATGGGAAAGACACACTCTTCTAATAAAAACAAACAATGGATTCAGTTTTTATAGATTCAGCCAGGTAATCTGGAAGGGAAAAAGTGATTCCAAGTCAAAATGATCTGGAAAGGAAAAACAAATGTGATTCAGTCTATTTTTAAAGGTGTTCTGAAGCCCTGCTCTGAGTGATAGCCTAGGGAAAAGCTCTTTTTTTTTCATCCATACCATATTAGCAAGCATTGAAAAATCCTAGCATCAATCTTGAAGACACTCCCTGGGCAGTGAATTGAAATATTTGGGACAGGGGGTCAGACTCGCTTCTCTGCGTTACATTGTATTTTATTCTGCCCAATATCTGACAACAAGATAAGGCCGAGATTCGGACATTAGAAAAGTCTCCACTGAGGAAGTTCAATGTGGGTGATAAATCCACTGCCTTGCCTTGAGCAGGAGACACAAATTAGGAGCTGGCCATAAAGGGATGTGCCCTTGGCATTGATTTCTGACTTAGTGTCTTAGAACTATCTCAAGTTGTAAGATGCGAAGGTGGTGTATGAGATTTAAATGACCATTTTGCAACTTTCACATCAGGAGGCTAGAGAACCATTCCCACCAAATGAAAGCACAGCCTCCCCATCTGCCAGTCTGGCTGACTGTGGATCCTGACACCGTAAAATGAAACAAAGTAGCCCATTGGAGGACCATGATAGTAAGAAAATAAATACAAAGTTTCAACGAGGTTTCTGCAGGTTATAAAGTGTGAGAGATCTGAGTACTATGTTTCATGGACTTGCTTGAAGGATTTTGAGCACTTTATGGAGGAAAGTGGACTGACTTACAATCAAGGCCCCCGGATTTGAATCCAGTTTGGCTACATAAATGGCGTGGGACCCTGGAAGGTCCTCAGGTCTCTCTTCTATGAAGCCAGGACAATGATACCCCTCCCACCATGGTGCAAGGATGAAGTATTATAGCTATATGGAGGCATTCTGGAGTCTGGTCATCCCGCCCACTTTGTAAACTCTCCCAATTCACCCCTTTGCATGATTTGTATCTTAGGCTTCAAGTTTATAAAAATACACTGGATACATAATGTTAGCTGAAGATGGAACTACAGTTCCTTTCATCAGACAGAATTTGAAAGAAAAAAATTAGTTGAACCAAAGACAGCAAAATATTAGCTATGCAGAATTCAGAGAGTTGCTGACTTGTTTTGGATAGTTGAACTTTATGAATAGATGGGGGTTTTCCTCTTAAGAAACCAAACATGAAAAACAAACCAAAAGAAGCACAAAACTATTTGGAATTTAAAAAGAGGCTGGGCGCGGTGGCTCACACCTGTAATCCCAGCACTTTGGGAAGCCAAGGCGGGCGGATCACGAGGTCAGGAGATCGAGACCATCCTGGCTAACACAGTGAAACCCCGCCTCTACTAAAAATACAAAAAATTAGCCGGGCATGGTGGCAGTCGCCTGTAGTCCCAGCTATTCGGGAGGCTGAGGCAGGAGAATGGCAGGAACCTGGGAGGCGGAGCTTGCAGTAAGCCGAGATCACGCCACTGCACACCAGCCTGGGCGACAGAGAGAGACTCCGTCTCAAAGAAAACAAAACAAAACAAAACAAAAAAGAATCTCTCCAATATATTTCAAAAACTTTTTTGGGGCTTTACGGGGTACATTCCTAATATCATTCTACTTTCTTAAAGACTTTTTAATCATTGTTCTGGGCACACCAAACAGTAACCAGGTGGTGACCCTGATGGCATTTGGAGCATTGTAACGGGCTGAATCCAATGGCTAATTTTACAGAGGAAAAATACAAGCCCAGAGAAGGCGAGTAACTCACCCAAGCCACACAGCCAGCTGGAGACCGAGCCAGCCCCTGACCCTCCATCATTCCACACTGCATTTTAGTAGCCACTGATCTTCATAAAATCACCTTATTGTAACCCCGGGATGCTAGTAACCCTGCAACTCCAGAATGCTTCCAAAGTATCCGTCAGAGCATTAAATTACAGATTTTTATGTCTGTCTTCTTTGATGTCCATGGATCATACTCACTCATGCAAACCTCGCTTGAGCACTTGTTGAGGCTCGTTTTATTCTTCATCTTTAAATGTCTCCAAAAATCAGCTGTCTGCCCTCCATGTGGGTCCTCTGGTTCACTTGGGAAGTAAGCATTAGGCAGCGCTGCTGAGTGGAGTGGAAGAAGCCACCTAACAGATGCGACTCACAGAGATAATGCCCTCTCTCATCCAAGTCCATGCCCTGTCCTTTCAACTGTGAAATCTCTAACCAGACCATCACCAATTATAAAGCAGTCCCCAGCCTTACCATGGATTAAGTAGAAATTAAAGATCCCAACACACATATGTATTGCCTGGCTGTCTTGCCAGGGGGGTTTATCCTGAGATCACTCAGCATAGAGCCACTCAGTGTGCGAACACACTTGCATGTGGCATTATAGAAACACCCTGAACACACATACACATTGCCTGGCTGTCCTGCCAGGGGGTTTTATCCCTGGAGCACTTAGCATAGAGCCATCCACTGTGCGAACACAGCAGCACACGGCGTTACAGAAAGATCCCAAACACATACACACATCGCCTGGCTGTCCTGCCATGGGTTTTATCCCTGGAGCACATAGCATAGAGCCATCCACTGTGCGAACACACCAGCACATGGCGTATAAAACATGTACAATTGCAACCACCGACACTCCCAACTGCAGCGAGATAAGCTCACCAGACCAACAGCAACAGCGGCAGAAAGGGCGCTCCTACCTCCTCATCCAGTGTTTTCCCCACTCTTCAAGTAGGTGATTTTTTAAAGTTTATCACAAAAAAAAGACAAACCTTTTTTCCTAATGTACCTGATCACATTCAATCTTTTTTTAAAATTAACTTAAGCTGTGATTGTAGACAAAGCTCAGTAAAACTGCTCATCTCTGCAACCCATGCTCAATTGAGGCCGTTTCTGAGTTCCGATTATTACAAAGTGACTCTGCTCTATATCTGGACCTCACAGAGAGGCAATCTTCCATTTCAGCAAGGATGCAGAAACAGATTACTGAGGGCAAGGGTGAAGGAAGCTCCCCTAACTTCCAAATGCACTGACTGCCCAAAATGTGGGGATCGCCCCCGCCCACCCGCCGGCAGCAGCCTCCGCCTGTAAATGGGTTGGGGATTTGCGTTGGAAGGCTGTGGCCCTCCCGCTATGTTCCTAAAATTTATTACCAGAAAAAAAAACTAAAATTTATCCAATACTTCAGTTTTCCCAACTTATCCCAGATGTTGCTCTTTGCCCCAAAGCAATTTTACCAAAACCATTCCCCGGGAAAGCCTCGACCTTTGTCCCCTTGCATTTTGAGTAACCATTTGGGCAACTGGAAAAAAGCTGCTGCTGCCTTCAAACGTTGGTTCGCCCTTTCCTTTGACCCTGGAGACCATAAGCGAATCCGGAACTGCCAACGTCGCTCACCCCAGAGACTGAAGTTCCCTATCGCGCACCTAACCATAATTTCCAATGACGGCGCCCGCACACCTCAAAGATAAGGAACGCGGTGCTGGGTCTTTGACTCCTGAGCAGGCGTGCGCCAGGCGTTTACAACTCGGCTTCGAAGAAAGTTTTTGTTCACACCCGAAACCAAAGTATCTGTGCATTAACTCACGGGCTCAGGCAGATAACGAAAGGCTTTTCCCAGCATTTACGACGCGGCACTTCCAAGGGTGCGCTGAATCCTGTCTGTCCCCAGAGGTAGCCGACCGGTCCCCGTCTCCACCGACCTCCCCTGGCGGCCAGCGTCTCACACGCGGCTTGTCCGCCTGGGAGCCAGCATCGTCCTCTCCCGCCGGCTTCCAAAGGGCCGGGGCGCCCTTACCTCGCTGACGATGGTGGAGTGGGCCTGGGCGTAGCGCCAGCCGCCGCGGCACGGCACAAGGGGAGCCGAGCGGTTGGGGAAGGCGGCGAGTGGGTCCGCGCAGCTGAGAGCGCTAGTGGCGGAGGCGCTGTCGTTGGCCGCCTCCAGGAGGTAGCGCTGGCAGCGGCCGCGGCGCTCGGGGGGCTCTGGGCCGCGGGAGGCGGGCGCCGTGCGGTTCCACTCCTCCTCCGGGCTCCAGCCGCAGCGCTCGGCCAGCGCCGCGGCACTTGGCCCGCGGCACCAGTAGTGGTCGGGCTGCGTGCCCAGGAAGACCACGCCGACGAAGAGGAAGGCGAAGGTGACGCCCGTCAGGCACAGCAGCAAAAACACGCGCCTCTGGAAGCGCCCGAACTCGCCCACCCGCTGCAGCGCCTCGTCGAAGGAGGGCATGGTGCGCCCGCCGCCCGCCGCCCGCAGCCCGCGCCTCGGAGTGACCCGCGGACCCAGCCGGCGGCCTCTCTTTACTCCGCCGCCTCCCCCGCGCCACCCGCCTCACTCGCCCTGGCGCTGTGCCGGCCGCAGCCGCTCCTCCTGCCCCCCGCGGCCCCCGCCTCTCTTCCCCGGGCGCCCGCAGCAGCCCCGGGCCACAGGTCGCGGGAGGGACGGCCGCGAGCCGGACGCACCCGGCCGGGGTGGGCGCGCGGTGGGGCTCGGGCGGTGCGGCCTGACTACGCGCCAGGGACCCGGCCGGGACCGCGAGTGACGGGCGCAGCCTCCGGCCTGGCGCGGAGCTCCTTTTGGTCCCTGCCAGCAGCCTGCTCTGCAGTCAGCCCCAGGTCGGGCTCCAGAAGAAGAAAGTTCCAGGGTCACCCGACCACTCCCGGAACTTCTGGGACCCGATCTCTCAGCGGCCCGGAGTGCAGCCCGGGGACTAAGGACGCGCGCGCGCGCCCCGGGTCCGGTGCCTGTGCCCGGGAGAGCCCCCTCCAGCCCTTGGCCCTTGCGCGTGCGGAGGCCTCCTGCGCCCATGTGGGGCAGGGCAGGGCAGGGCAGGGCAGGGCAGGGCAGGGCAGGGCAGGGCTGCCCGTTCCCAGCACAGCGCTGGCCATCGCCCTCGACCCATCGAGAGCTACAACTTGGGATTTGATCACCCAACTTTCCCCAGAGGGCAGCCGGGCAACCCACACAGGCGAAGGGGCTTGCTCAGCGTCCAGGAGGTTTGGGGTGAGAAGGGATCGCCTCAAGGCCAGGCCTGATGCAGACCTCCTTCGCCAGGGCCTTCCCACCCACCTTCGGTCTGAACGCCAGGGAAGGGTGTTGGTGGTTGGTTTGAATCCTGGTTTTTCCGCTTACTTATTGCGCCTGCCAATTCGGCAGAGCGCGATCAGAACTTCCCGCCCAGGCTGCCCAGGCTGCTGGGTCCATGCTGGGACGCCTTCCCCGGGCTGGGTCGCGGTCCCCCCACGCCCCCACGTTATCGGCCCACGTTCTGCCTTTAGCTCACTTTTCTCCAAGGCCTTGGGAGGACTTGCGGTTCCTCCTCCGGAACAAGGAGTTTGAAGCCAGGCTGCTTGGATTCAAACTGGCCTCATGTCCTCACCAGCAGTTTCAACTGCCCGCTGGACCCCAGACTCAGTCTGTCCCCCTCCAACCCAGCTCCCCTTTCCTGCCCTGCCTTTCGGTGCAACCATGTCCTGGGCCCAGACTCAGAACCTCAGTATGGCGGGGACACCACTCACTCCTCAGGCCTGTACTCTTAGGTCATCTCGGCTTGGAACCCCTTTTGCCAATGTTGGAGCTCAGAAAACAATACGCCAAAATGAAGGCCTCAGAAGCAGTCTCTGTGTCATCTTCTGCCCTCCTGTCTCTCGGTCCCATTCTCCCCCAGGCTAGCCATCGAAACCAGAACGCTTTTCCCCAAAGCCAGTCATAAAACAAAAATATCACTGTGATTTTCCCTCACTTGTCTGTGTAAAAACTGGCCATAAAGAAATCAACTGTTCTACCTTGTTGATTGCAGTCCTAAGACCTCCCATTCCACAGAAGAACCTGCCCCTTACCCAGAAGGAAAAAAAGGCTGCTCAGAGAGGCCAAGAAGAATCTAGAGCCACCGGCCTCGCTGGGTTTCCTCACTCAGTATCAGCATCAGATCACACCCTTTTGGTCCAATCCTATTTCGACAGGGCTCTCCATGTTTTGTTGAACCTAAGCATAAAACTAGGCAATTTCCCCTGTATCTTTGGGCCTTCCTTCTGAAGGCCCCCATGTACACCTTAAATAAATAAGTACACCTTTTCTTCTAGCCATCTGCCTCTTGTCAGTGAATTTTCAGGGAACTGGGACCAGTCAACAACCCACCCCAACCTCTGCATACACTAGCACATTCCCCCCTTTCCTGCTTTGTCTCCAAAGCACTTATCATCACCATATATTGTCATAGATATGTTTTTATTCATTTATCATATATTTATATTTATACTTATTCATTTTATTTATTTATCTTATCTGTGTCTCTCCATTACAACTCAAGTTTCATGAGGGCAGACAGTTTTGTATTTTCTTCTATCGATACCTTCTGGAACAGTGCTTGGTGCATTGTAGGTGCTCAGTAAATATTTGTGAAATAAACAGATGCTTCTTGACTCCCCCACCACACACACTCACACACACTCATACACACTCACATGTCCCCTCATCTCAGCTATGTGATTGCCTTGGGCTCCCCTCAGGGTTCTGTCCCTGCAGCACCTGTCCTCTGGTCCAGCCTGCACTTGGGATCATCTTCCCACAGTGCAGCTTGGGGGTGCCACCTTCAGCAGTTTGCCTTGTTTTCTAAAATCCTCCTTTCTCACTCTCCCTTTCTAGCTCCTAACCTGTATTTCTCCTCAAATTGTTCCCTGTGGACAGCCAAACAGAACTACTTGCCAATCTTCACATTCTTCTTGAAATTTTTAAAATCTATGCCTGTACACACAAAGTTTCCTTTTCTTAGAATTTCATCCCCCTATTCCTCCCTGCCCATCACCCAGCAAGGCCTGGTTCAAATGTCAACAGCCCCTCTTTAAAGTCTTCCGCAACCACCACCACGGCCTTCCTCCCTCAGCAATGCAGTCCCCATCAGTGCTCCTAACATATCTAAGAAAATTTTCATGGAAGTTCACTATATTTTTTTTGTATTGTGGTTGTCAGGGTATTTTAATTTTAATTACTTTTTTTTTTTAAAGGAAGTCATCTCAGCCTATGGACAGATAGATCCAGTATAGTTGCTAGCTACATGGTGGACCTGGGAGCCAGACCCACTGGATTCAAATCCCCCTCTCCTCCTTATAGCTGAGTGATATTGGGCAAGTTATTTAGCCTCTTCTGTGAAACTGAGTAATAATAGAACCCTCTCATTTTTAATGCAAATCACTTAGAACAGGCCTTGAAACATAAGTGCTAGGTAAGAGTCAGCTAATAATAAAAAGAGCGATAAAACCACCACCCACCCCCAGAATTAGCAAACATCATCTTATGTTTGCTTTGGATATATTGTTATAAAGTCCTGACATATCACAGACACGACTGGAGTCTCCTTCCTGTTGCTTCAGATCCTATCCTCTGTCTCCTCCCTTCCTCCTTGGGGCAGCCATTAGGTCTTTTCTTTGGGACATGGGGCTCAGAGCTACCGGGCAGGGAATCCCAGGGTCCCAGCTCTCAGAGTGTGGTTGGAAGTGGGTTGGGGAGTGAGGGTGATTGGCTTGAGGTGAGCGCAACCTCTTGCCCCTTGAGGAGGTCAGGAGTAGGGCCTGAGTGGGCACCCGCAAGGCCCCAGGCCTCTCTTGCCCAGATGTAATTCGCAGGAAGCTATGATTCTTATCTGTTTGAAGCCTTTAACACACAGGTATTGCAACGAAACAGTAGATAGTATTTAGAGTGCTTTGAAAATTTTACATAAATGGTACCATACTCTATGTAGCTTTCTGTCCCTCCTTTTTTTTACTCTACAATATATTTTTGAGACCTGTTAGCCTTGATATATAGAGATCGGGCTCGTTTACTCTAACTTCTTGTGTCTTTCTATTGAAAGGTCATCCTATGACTTTTCCATTCCCCTACTGGGGAACATTTAGCTCATTTAAAATTTTTCACAATTACAAATTGTGCTGCAGTGAACATATTGTGCATATTTCTTTATGTATTTATGCAAGAATTGGTCAAAGATAAATGCCTAGAAGTAGACTAGATGAACCATAAGTGTGCATGTTTGAACTTTACTAGACATTGCTGTCAATGGCTGTCCTCAACTGACATCCCACCAGCAACACATGAGTTGCTTCACGTCCATACCAACACTTGGTCTTGTTAGACTCAACCACGCTAGCAGATACTATGGATGAAAAATGTGGCCCCATTGTTCTGATCTAGTCAGGGATGTGACTAACACATTTACATATTTATTCATCATTCAGGTTTTCTCTTCTGTGAGTTGCTTCTTCCTATCATCTGCTTATGCTCTCTTTGTTATTTGTGGCGGTTTTTTTTCTTATTGGATTTTTGGGAAATTATTTGCATATTTGTGTATTCTGCTTCTCTGCCAGCTGTATATATACAATCTTCTCAGTCTGGGGATTGTCTTTTAACTTTTAGCATCTTGGATGCTACACAAATTTTAAATTGTCGTATAGTAAAACTGATCATCCTCCTTCATAGCTTCTGCTTTTTTAGACTTGTTCTAAAAATCCTGCTCTAGTGTGAGATCTTAAGTACTTTCTTCTATATATTCTTATTAAATCTTATTTTTCAAATTGAGGTTTAATATCTCTGGAGTTATTTTTGTGCAGAGAATGGTGGGATCTAACTTTACTTATTTCTTTCGAATGGACAACCACTTGCCCAGATGCCACTTAACTGAACTTCTTCTTGACTTACACTATTGCCTGTCTCCTAAATTAGGTTCCTGCCCCTGCTTCCATCTGTTTCTGAGCCTTCATTCTGTCCTACTGAATCTGGTAATATCTAATAAGACAAATCCCACCTTTCCTCTCCCCTCACCTTGTCCTCTCCAAAATTTCCTTGACTATTCTTGGACTCTTTTTCTTCCACACAACCTTTACATTTTATCAAATTCCACAAAAATCAGTTGAAGTCTTAGTTTTAAATCACGTATGCACTTTTTTTCTTCCATGGCATTGTAGGCATTTTGAGAGAAAAACCGAATCACTCTCAATTTTGTATCTTTGAAACATCCGTTATCTGTTCTATATCTGCACCATCCAAAATGTTGTGCCCACTTAAACGTAGATTTATTAAGATTAAATAAAATGAATAATTATGTTCCAGGCATATTCCAAGTGCTCAGCAGCCACAAGTGCAGGAACTAACACATTGGCTTGCACAGAGAGAGAGAGAGAACATTTCAGTCGCCACCAGACATTCTGGTGCACAGAGCTAATCAACACATAGTAATCAATAAATGTTGGTTAAATAGCAATAATAAGAATCAATTGCCCCACAACCGCAGGCTTTTGTAAAAACATGCTGACATTAACTTTTCTTAAAAAGGTAATCATTTTAATTTATTCATCTGAAGTTTTATAGTTGGTAGTTTTATTGCATTTAGAAATGAATATACCAATACCAGAATATTCACCACATATTGAGTTGCTGAACTAAGTCATCATGACACTTATGCAGTTTGGGAAGAGTAAAGAACTAAGAAGATTAGTTTGGGAATGCTATAATAAATGTTGGTTTCAAGACTTTTTTCCTAAGATTCATGGGAGGGAAATTTGGCAGGTGAACTGGTACATGTGCTCCAGCCTACAGAAAAAAAAAATGAAAATTCATATTTACTTTTTTAACAAGTGGATAAGAATGTCTGAAAGTCTCTCATTCTTTCCTTATCTGGCGTGGAGTTGCTGTTTTTTACCTTAGCATGTGAATGTAATAAAATCTACAGAGCACTCCCATTATTCTATGGCCTATAAATAGACCCTAAAGTTGAGTTAAATTGACCAGCAATCATAATTATCTGTCACTTGCCAGTGGATTATGATTTGGACTTTGTTAGAGGAAAGTCTTCATTTTTTGGGGAAACTATTACAGACCTTTTGAAATAGATGCTTTTTCTATATTTAAAGCCTATAGGATCTTAGACTTAAAGTCACCTTTGGAGAAAGGGGTAGCCAAAAAGAAAATGCTAAATAGGACTAAATATTCCAGAGTTGAATTACAACAAGAGAATTCTAGAGTTCGTATCTTTTCATCAAGCAGTTTTGGGCAGGGATGGGAACTAGGCTTTTGCTCATGCCCCACCACTCTCATTTGGCAGGAGCTATCTAGAGCACAGTGTTGAGGCTGACTTTGAGGCTGAGTGGAAAACAGGCCCCAGCTGGTTAGGAATGTCCAACACAGGAAGAGAAAAGGAGAGTGGCAGAATGAGTGTGAAAAGGTGGTCAACCTTCCACTGATCAATGCAGCTGGAGAAGCACCACATTGCCACAATACTCCTCATCGGCCTCCACAACTCTTAGGGCAGGCATCCTGTCCCTTAAGTCACATCATAAAGTGCCTCATCTAATGAATCACATTTTTTTCCCACAGAGCTACTGAAATTCTCTTAGAATATTCCATTCTAACCATATACAGATGTGGTTTCTAACAATTTGGAAACCTGGATTTTTTGGCCTTCTATGTTTGCTTGTGTTGTAGAAATCTTAAAATGGAATATGAAGCTTCATCTCTACGTGCAGAGGATCACTATCCAAATAATGTTGCACATGTGGTTGTATAAGAGTCGAATTAAACTGTTTTTACCCTGATGTGACCAATCTTCACCTTCCAGGCTCAGAGCCTGTCCAATGCTAAGCCCATAGTGCTGGGTTCAGAAGTCATTGGATTTGGCACAATAAATGCTAAGACTGAAATTCCTAACACTGTTAAAGTAGGCAGGTTCACTTATAACACTGTGAAGGTTTGATGTAAACTTTTGTGAAAAGTATTAATGGGATACTTAAAAAAAATTTTAAATTACAGTCGCCATTCTACTTGTAGATTACTTTTGCAATTAGTTTTTGTTTGTATTTTTTAATTATAAGTGATTTTTTCTGAGTCAAATCATAATTTCTCATTGTGGTATAAACCAATAAATGATTTCTTCCTCAAAATACAATAAAATTAAGATCATTAGACCATTTCCTGGTTGTAAAATGCAGCGGATTCAAGTTATTTTCCTTTATCATGAAACCAAAATGTATAAATTATGGCCATCCAGGTTATTTTTCGCGCAGTTTGTACATATTTGTACAAAACCTGTACAAACTAAGGCAGGTTTTCTGAGGCAGTTTGTAGAACACTGGAAGATGAAATATTCAAAAATTTTTCTTTTCTTTTTTCTTTTTTTTTTTTGAGATAGGGTCTCACTCTGTCACCCAAGCTGGAGTGCAGTGGCTCAATCACAGCTCACTGCAGTCCCAAACTCCTCGGCTCAAGCCATCCTTCCACCTCAACCTCCCAAGTAGCTGGGACCACTGGCAAATACCACCACACTCAGCTACATTTTGTATCTTTTGTAGAGATGGAGTTTTGTTAGGTTGTCCAGACTGATCTTGAACTCCTGGGCTCAAGCGATCCTCCCACCTCAGACTCCCAAAATGCCGGTATTACAGGTAGGAACCGCTGTGCCCAGCCTGAAATATTTGGTTTTGTAAGATTTTAAAGCTATGTCTTAAACATGAAAAGGTGAAATCCATCTGAAAAATTTAAAAGGAAAACTTTTTATAATGAGTCCCAAAGAAACAGAAGGGGAACAAGAATATCATTAGGAAATTTGATGTAAATGACAGGAGTATATACAAATATTTCTGTTTTAACTGTCTTTTATTCTTGTTTTATGTAACTAATTGTCTAGATAATTTTACAATTTATATTGAGTAGCAGCAATGGGAAGACTCCATCTGAGATGCTACTGTAAACATTCAGAGAAAAGCCCAGGAGAATGGCAGAAGAGAAGAGTTCATGGATAAGAAACTAGTATGAGCAGCAAGTCACCAAAGTGTTGTTTTGTTTTTATATTAAGATATCTTAGGTTCTCCCTAGAATCCACAGTCCAAATTCTGATCTCAGATTTACTGTGAGATAAAGGGTACGTGGGACCTGTTTGCCTTTCCTAAACATGAATGAGAGAGCTCTGGTTTGTGCATTTCTGGCTTTCTGCAATTCAGAGCCCGTTGAGACCGAGAGTGCCTCTCCAACCTCTTGTGAGAAAGCCCACTCACATTCCTCAGTTCAGCCCGGTCAGTGCCCAGGTTCCAGCCACACCCAAGCATGGCAACATGTTCCCCTCAGGGGTTTCCTCAGAAACCAGGGGCTCCCCACTTAAGCTAGCAGCCACTGTCAAAGGCAGGCTGGCTCCCCGGTTCCCTCTGCATCGTTCAACTCGCACTCTTCCCAGGCTATACTTCATTCCCACGGGTTAGGCCCTCCTTGTCCTCCACGGAATGGGCTCTGTGCCAGGGGCCCTGCTGTGTGCTGGACATATTGTGGTCCTGTAATCCTCAGAACCACACTGATGGGGGCTGCCAGCCTTTCACAAGTGTGGACACTGAGGCTTGGAAATGTTGGCATCAGTCGTACAAATGTCATGTGGGCTGAAGTGGCTCCCTCGTGGAGCCCCACAGCCAGCCCTTCCTGCTGCTCTGGGTCACCCACAGGTCTCCTGGTACCCTGGACACTCGCGACACCTTTACATTTTCTTTCCAACTTTCCCCATGACTTTTATGTTCTGACAAGGCATTTTTTCTTTTCAATTAAGTTCTAGTATTTTTTTAAAAAAATAAAACCATTTTATGCGTTCTACAATGATCTCTACATAATATCTTAGACATGAAGGTATCTTAGGATTTTTATTTAATTGAAAGAAGTTTTAGAAGCCATGTAATCTAATTTCCTTGCTTTACAATAAAGTAATTAAGGACCAAAGAGATTAAATGACTCAACTAAAGCAACTTTACTCAGTTTATAGCAACAGTGGAAATAGGGCCCAGGCCCATGCACTGTGATAAACACACTGCCTCAAATTCATTTTTTAAATCCTTCATTTCATAAATCTCCTTTTGGTTACAGTATATTCTACACATTTAAAAAATTGCTTTATTTATATTGAAATTAATTTGTATGAATGTAAAACCTACCCAGTCTTCATTCAAATAACATTGTCAGTAAAGTTTTTCTACAGTGAAGAATGGAAGCTTTTGTTGCAAAAATAAAGATTTTTAGCATTTATAACACTTGAAAAATAATTCCAGAGCACTGTATTTGATTAGGGAGAAAAAAGGAAATAAATCAAATCCAAATAAACTCTCTACCTGAGATAATAGCATTGTATCAACGTCGGCTTCTTGATTCTGACAAGGCACTCTGCTTCTGAAAGACATGGTCATTGAGGAAGCTGACTGAAGGGTAGATAGAACCCCTCTGTACTATTTTAGCAACTTCTTGTGAGTCTTGAACTACTTCAGAACAAAAAGTCATTTTGTTTTGTTTTGTTTTTTCAGTGATGATACACAGCAGGACAACCAGTCCTGAAAAACTTTGCAAAATTGATCATACCCTGGTGCTCCTCCTTTAACAGACATGGCAGCCCCTGAATTCCAGATCCAGCCCCGCCTCCCAGGTCTGCTCTATCTTCAGCCTTACAGGTGCACGGGGGCTCTTGGGACACTTCAGAGCTCAGGGGGCTAAATAGAGTTTTACAGGCTGGCCTGAGAGTCGAGGCTTCTTTCCTAGCATTGTTTCTATAGGGAAATGCTTCTGTGTTATAGAGAATCAATTCACAACTGTATTCTTGAAGTCCAACCCATCTGTAGCTTGAGGGTGGTCTACAACCTGCTGTGACTGTGACCTTAGGTATAACACAGAGGACAAGTGAAATGGAAGCCACAGCTATGGGTTTCTTCTGCTTTGAAATAAGCATTCATCTAAAGATGAATGGGCAAAGAAACAAGTTTTACAAATATGGTGACCAAGCATATTTCCCCAAGCCGAAGTCTTATAAGAAGGCCATTACTGAAAAAAATAATGTTTGTGTTTCTTCTACTCTTTTACTGTTTTAGTTACTGGTGTTAATTAGTGATCTTACTGCAAAAGACTTGCTATCTTTGCTTAATGAATACAACAATACAGCATGGTGCATAGGGCTTGTGTGTGCACATCCCACAACACACCTAAATGTACCTCCGAACAGTTTGTATTTAATACCTTGCTCTCCGGGGCATCACTGTCTGTGCTTACAAATGCAACCCCTTCAACATCTCCGTGTGAACCTCAGTAGTGGTCATTCTTCAGTCCTGCAGGAAGCCCTGTCCTCGCGGTGGTCTCACACTCAAACGTCTCTGGGAGTTCCCAGGGACTGATTTTTATAATTCCCCAAACATCATTTTGACAGTTTTCTGCACTTCTTGTACCTTTCTAGGAATCTCTAGGACAAGGATGGGTGTGGGTGTCTCATGTGTACTGTGGATGTGCATTTTACTCATAGGCAAGTTATTAAGTCAGAGCACAAGAAGAAAATAGTACATGGTTAAGAATCATAGTTGAATGCCTTTTCGGTATCCAGAATGAGAACAGATCATGGGTTCTCTGGTCAGGGGTTTGATGAAGCCATTGGCTTGAGCACAGGAATCATCTTGCTGGAAAGTAAACAATTCAATTGGTGATGTGTACACGTGGGAGGCTTGAGAATGCCAGGAACAGCAGGTTCACATCTCTTAGTGCACACTCACTAGGGGCCTCTGTTCTCTGGATAGGAGTGAAAGGGAACTGGACGAACTTCCCTTCCAGCCCCCCACAGGTTCCCACTGCTCCCAGCTCCAGTTTATCCCTCAGATTGGCATGTCTGAACCCCAAGTACAGTCAGAGTTCGAGTTCTCTCCCAAAGGTTTCCTGGACTCCAATCAAATCAGGGGATATCCCTGGCATCTAGGCTCGTGTCCCTAAATATTCTGTGTGCCCTAAGCCCACAGAAAAAGTATGGTGGTCACCTATTTGATCAACAACTACACACTTGAATCTTCATTCTAGACTAGCCAACACTTCCTGTCACATGCTAACACTAACCCACTGGGGCCTCCATAACCCATCCCCCAATCATGTGACCCCTCGCAAGATAAGCCCTCTTTATCAGTCAGTCTTTTCATCACCACCCCCAAGCCCATGCCAATTCCCACTTCATACATGTGCTTAATCCTTCTCTTCAATCTGAGATGATCTCTCTTATCACTGTCTCCCGTTCACACCACATCTAATATCTACATCTCCATTTATACCCATATCATATCTATACCCACTCCCTGTAGATCAACATAGCTAGCTATTGCAGCAAGGTGGCCAAGCGGCCAACTGCTAGAAGCTGCTCTGAAATTCCACCTCTGTCATTCATTTGCTATGTGTCAGACACATTGCTCACCCTCTTTGCATTTCATTTCCTCTTTGGTAACATGGGGATAAATAACAGTATCAACCCTGTAGAACTGTAGGGAGAAACAAAAGAAACCCTGTAAGTCCACTGCTCATCATAGAGTCAGAAAAAAAGAAGGGTTTGATCAATGTTAACTGTTTTTCAAAATTCTTGCCATTTCCAAATTGCACTTAATCTCACCTCCCTCATGCCTCTTTCCTAAATTCTGCTTGTTTCTCTTAACTCCTAAATATTTATGCTCACGTCAAACCACTTAACATTCAATAGCATACCCTTAGCAGGAAGTTCCCCCAGCCTTTTTCTTTTTTCTTTTTTGAGATAGGGCCTCTCTCTGTTGCCCAGGCTGGAGTGCAGTGCCATGATCTTGGCTCACTGCAACCTCCACCTCCCAGGCTCAAGCAATCCTCCCAAGTAGTTATGACTATAGGTGTGTGTTCTCACACCCAGCTAATTGTCATATTTTTTGGAAGATACGGGGTTTTGCCATGTTGCCCAGGCCGATCTCAAACTCCTGGGCTCAAGTGATCTACCCACCTTGGCCTCCCAAAGTGCTGGGATTACAGACATGAACCACTGCACCTAACCAGTACTTTTTAAAAATTGTGTTAAATAAGTTATTATTGTGTCCTTAATCTTATTGAACACAGGCACTGTATTCTATATTTCTCTTGTGTGAAAAATGCCCAGTGTAGTGCAGGACATATCACTAGATATTCTACAAATAATTCCTTAGCTCTCTGAATCATTTTGAGGAAAACCCAACGACTCATTTGATTATGAGTTTAGAATATCCATATTTTCTGCACCTCTTTTTTAAAAAATGATTTGATCTAATCACACCTTCCCCCATACCCAAGTGAACAAAATAAATTAGGTCTTCTGTGGTTTCCAAACACCATTATTTTTTGTTCATCCAAGAGCAGGAAAGCCATGATCTCACATTATCAAAATGGGCCCAAATGCCTGACGCGGTTGCTAATTATTGCTCCACTGACGTTTTCGGATGTGCTTCTGAGCAGCCTGTCATGAGCTGGTGATGCCAACACAACAACTTTACAAAGGAAACTTGCCAGAGTGAGAGTTGATTTATGGCCTCATTGCCCTTGCAGGTATCATATAGATGCAACCTAAAAGATCCTCAGTTTGTGTTGTTGGCAGACTTTTGTTCAATGGGGGTGCATTTTTATACCTCAGATATAGCGGTAGACAAACTGATTTGAAAAATCTTTCCACTTGGATATTTTATGACTGTGAAATCTCCGTTAGAGAATATCAAAAATCTTTTTACAGATGTGATGTCTGAAGCACTGGCATAATCTTCACTCATGAAATGCCCTAGGAATGACTTTTCAGATGGCTGAAAGTATGATGTATACATAGCATTAATTAATCAAAATACTTAGAAAATTGGGTTTGGAAAAATGGCGAAATTGAACTTTTAAATATCAGCTCTATAACAGAATTTGAGATTCCTGTTATCCTTTCAGAAAAGCCAATATTAATGGAAATGAAAGGAAAATGATTTAATTATGCTAGCTCACCTGTAGAAATCAACTAGATGGATGGATGATTTCAATGATAAAGTATCTTTAAACTTTACTTTTAAATAAGAAGTATATGTTTTATTCTAGGATATCTGTATGGATATACTCTAAATTTCTGACTCTGAAAACTCAAATTTCAAAACACAAAATATTCAGGTTTGAGGCTCACCATCCAGAGCACGTTGGAGAATAATTTAATTTGTCTTTCCTTCAGGTGCCCGGCACGAAGCCCCAAAAGGCAGCAAGACCCAACTTTAAATTACATTTCAATTAAGAAATCAAAATAATAACATTTATACATCTTACTTTATTAATCCTCAAACAGTTAAGGTGGAACAAAATGTTTTCTACCAAAAAGAATATAAACCTCATAAAATAAAGGGAATCTCTTAGATAAGCATAGATGTTCCTAATTGAGAAAAAAATAATCAATTTATAAAACATGTCATAAACTCAAAATATATTGTGCATTTGAAAAGCAGAAATCTGTTGAAAACTCATAGCCATTTTGTTTTCAGAAGACTGCCCGAGTCACTGCACAGGAATCCAGTGGGCTATCTTAACTAGAGCCAGCCCACCATGTTAGTAAACTGAAAGACGATGACAGCACGGCGTTTGCGAACTTTAGGAGATGTTAAAACTTCAAGATGTGACTTGAAGAAAAAAGGGTTCCATTTCAAACATGTTTGGGAGGCCTTGGGCGACTAAACTAAGCTTTTTACTGTAAAACTTCTTCCCAAGAAGGGAAGGGTACACACTGTTTCCAAAAGTTATTGTGACCTTGGTATCCTTTTCTCACAGAACATCTTGAAAGACTAGTGGTTCCTAGGGGCAAACCACGGGAAATGCAGCCAACATGCAGGCCCTTTTATGGCAGATGTCCTATGGGCAATAAGAGGAATGAGCCCAGAGAGTAACAATATGATCTGGGGGCTTTCTGCCTAGTAAAGGATCTGAACCTAAAAAGTGGGATGAAGAATCAGTACCACAAAACTGCATTTATCCCTATCTTCTTCATTTAATTTATTCATTTATGCATTCATTTGTTCATTCATGGAGCTCCTACTATTGAACCAGCTACTAGGCGTACGGAGGTTAATAAGATATTATCCTTGCCCTGAAAGAATGTGCTCTGTAGGATAGAAGGAACAGAGAGATATATGAAGTCAGATCAGAATACTAGTTTTGTCCCCAGACAAAGGAAAGGTGGTCCTCAGTTCTGTCTGGGAATCAGAAAAGACTAAGCCCTGGAGTTGGGTCTGAGCCATGAGGATAAGAAGCCACTCCAGGCTGAGGATGATGAATGCAAACAGGTAAAGACAAGAAAGCCACATCACATTTGGAATGCTACAAACCTTCTCCTACAGCTGGAATCCCAAAGGAGAAGAATTCCTTGAAAGACTACGTTATTTAATTGCGGAAAGATCTTAAGGAAATGAGGATATAGACAAGGTAGCCATTCAGAAAACTCTGTCAGTAGTCCCTGGAGAGACAGTGAGGACACCTACTAAGGGGTGACAGTGGGTGTTAAGAGGCAGCAAGCCAGCACTGTGTGGGGAGGGAGAAGTTGGATTTTTTGGTGGTCCATAGGCATCTGACTTGGCCATTGGGAGGATGGATGGTGGAGCCAGGCAGGAGGATAAGAGAAGCAAGAGACTGGGAGAAAAAACAGGAAAGCCAGTTTTAGACATGTTGAAATTCAAGTGTCCAAGGGACACCCAGAGGGAGCCATTGGGTTGGCAACAAATTTGTTATATGAGAGAGCCACCTGGACATGAGACAGCCACCTGGACACGAGACAGCCACCTGGTATGAGACAGCCACCTGGACATGAGACAGCCACCTGAACATGAGACAACCACCTGGTATGAGACAGCCACCGGGTATGAGAAAACCACCTGGTATGAGACAACCACCTGGACATGAGGCAGCCACCTGGACATGAGATAGCCACCTGGACACAAGACACCTGGAAGGAGACAGCCACCTGGACAGTAGATGAGAGTTTTGGAAATTATTTGCCTGTATCTTTAATTTCCCTTTTTTCATTAGAATTTAAACATGGCCTCTGCTCAAAGAAGAAAAAGAAGGAGGAATGAAGGAAAGAACTGAAAAGAAAGAAAAGAAGAAGGAAGAAAGCACATCTTCCTGCAACTACCACTTCTCCCCTTGCCCTCATTACCCCACCGTGTCCACTTACCCTGTCCTCACCATGCCACTATCTTGACACGATTGTTCAAGACCTCCTTCTGGCAAGGTCATTACTTGTATCCCTGGCAGTGTTTCATGCCATTGAACCTTCCTCCTTAAAGAATGTGCAACCACTCTGTGGGCCACTTTCTTCCCTTGGCTTCTGAACGGCCCCAAAGCCCACTCCTCAGACATCTTAGTGGGTTCTTTTTCCCTCTGTCCACTCCTCTCACTCGGGCATTCCATGGGGTTCTGTCCAAATTGCTCTCCTACAAACTCCCCTTGGGCAATCTCCACTACCCCTCAGCTCCAGTTGTCATCAATAGCAGCGTAGGCATAGCTGCAGTAGCAAATGGACCCCAAAATATATGGTGACTCATCATATCTGATCTACTTATATCATTAAGCCAATGGACCTTTAATTTTGCTAAGACAAGGAACAACTGAGAGTCTTCTTCCCAGTCATGTCCTCAAAATCGGGATTCTTTCTCACTTTCAGTCCTTCCCACCTCTCCTCCCTCTTTCTCCTACCTCACTTTCATAGGCAGACTTTTATTTTATTTTTACCTCCTCAGCTCTTACCTCTTCTGGTGGAATATTCACTACACTGTCCCCAATATTTTTGCACACTTCGTCTCCTTTAATCTTTATGCCCAATTTCATAGGGTAAACCAGGATTCAGAGAGGGTAAATCCACACAAATCCAGAATTCAAATACAAGTCCATCAGATTCTAAAGCCAGTGATTTCTGCACCTGGTCATTCTGCTTTCTTCTTTTTCAGAGACTGAAGTTCAGACAAACAAATAAGCCACCACTAAGAAGCAGAGTTGGAATTTAAACCCAGGTTTTTTACTCCCAAATTAGAGCTCTGAGTCCTTTCTATATTTATGTGTTCCAGGTCTGTATCAGCATTAGTGATTAATTTCCCAGGTTCCTGGCTCTACATTTGCAAATTAATTTACATTTTCCCAAGAAGAACTTGCCCTGAGGAATGCGGAGGAGATCACAGCTGCTGTCATCCACTCTCCCTTGTCTCCCGAATCTTGTAGAGAAGCTGTCCTCATTGCTCCTATGGGCTTTAGATGGTAAACAGCAAATGCCTGAATTCTTGAACAAACTTGGTGAAGAATACAAAAAGTGAGATTTTTACCCCCAAAATTGTTGAGTGGTAGATAGTGCCTTGCATTTCCGAGCACAGCCTTCTCCAGTACCTAGTGAAAGGGTTCATTTTTTTTTTGTCTTTGACAGACATAGCTACATATCCCCTACATAATCAAAATTGCCTTCCAAAACCCATCTTTGAAATAAATTTTAAATGGAGAGAGGCAGAGAGAGTGAGAGAGAGCGAGAGAGGGAGAGGAAACTGTGTGGAACTAGATGGAAATGACTTCTCTCTTCTCTACCCCTTTCTAATAAAAAAAATTAAACCTCTTCCAACTCCAAATTTACCCCGGCATTTTCTGGCTGCCTTGCAAGTCCATGAATGCTGGCAACGTGCCATGCCACTTGCTACAGATACTAATGGTAGGGATACCTTTTCAAACGAAATCAAGACCAGTTAGACATCATCAGCACTTCTACTCTTGGACAAAAAGCATCCTGGATGATTTACGTCAATCTTTAAATCCCCCCATATTCCCAGTCTTCACGGATTTGTGAGCCAAGCCAAGCTTGGCATGGACGCTCCCCAGTGTGCCAAAGGTGGCTTATGAAATGTGGGCCCTCAGGCATAGGCACAAGCAGGGGCCCTGTGACACCAGAGACCTTTTGGGAACTCTGCAGTCCATTACAAGTTGTCCTCTCTGGGAGCTGGTACCTGATACCCGGGACTAGGAAAGAGGGGCCCCATTCTATGGCTCTCCAGCCTCCTCTACTCCTTCTTCACTCTCCCTCCATCTCTACTTTGGAAACATATTTTACTGTTGGATTACTTTATTTTGAAACATTTCGTTAAAATAATACATGCATATGAAAACTAAATGATATAAAAGGAAATATGGAAAACAACAGCCTATCATGCAACTTGTCACCTTAAATAACAGAGGCTCTCTAAAGGAAAAAGAGGCTTCCTCAGGACTAGGGCATTGCAGTGGGAATACGTGCACCGTGGTAAACTATATGCATATTCAGGGAGGTAAAGGAAGACAGGTTTTTAAAGGAAAGATTAAGAGGATGACACACTTGCTTTCAAATGATTATCCTTGGCTACAAGGATCAATCACAAGGCTGACGTCTGTCCAAGGTTGGACAGGCAGCTGCTAAACAGATGTCCCCGCAGAAGTATTTTCTGTGTAAGTTGCAATGGCCTTTGTGCAAGGTTGTGGTTTCTGCAGAATCTTTTGTGAGAGTTTTGTTATCAGGCATACAAAGTGTAAGAACCCTCTCTTCATTGCCTTCCCAGTTCTGTCTGTCAGGGTGTTTTGTTTTGTTTAACACAAGTGACTCCATTTTGATTTTGACGACTTTCACAAACCCTTCCCCTTCCTCAGTGCCACTTCCCAGGGTTGACCATTTTTTAATAATTTCAGTTTTCAGTCCTCTTGAAAGTTACTGCTGTAATGTGGAATAATAAGCCTAGGCTTCTGTTTCTTGTTTAGTAACCCTTGATAGTATCTAGTGACTCCTTTCTGAAAAACATAATCAATTTTTCCCTATAGTCCTCTAAGTGTTTTACTGCTACAGATAATTTTGAGTTATGTGTTTAAATAAAGTTATTAAATCTTGATTTCTTGTCCTAGGAACCTTGGGCGGTGTCTCCTGACTCAACCATGTGTGACAAGAATACCAGCTTTCCCCCATCTCTGAGCTTCTAACGTTTTTTATGCCTCCCCCGACTTCAAAAGTGTTAAGAGTTCCCATGGGGATGGTGAAATGGGCCATTCCTGAATGGTATAATAAATCTCACCGAACTTCAGGCATGCCTGTCATCAGCCAAGTCCTCTGGTGGGGCTGCTGGCATTTGAAACTGAGGCTTCTCACAATGTATTTCATTTCTTCGGCTACTCAGTTCAAACTTCAGTTATTTCAGTGTTCACTCTTGTGTTAATTAGCTTTGAGGGAGAGTCACAAATAAAAACATCAGAAAGCTTTTTGCCGTCTCCTGAACAGGACTGAATGACAGGGAAGGATGAAGAGTGTAGGCTAAAATGTAAAGAAGACCCAGTTCCTGGCTCAAAACAACAGACCTCTATTATCTCATAGTTCTGGAGGACGGAAGCCCAAGATCAAGGTGTCAACAGGACTGTTCTCTCTCCTGAGGCTCTAGGGGAGGGTCTGTTCCCAGCCTCTTCTGTCTTCTTGTGGCTGCAGGCATTCCTGGGCTTGTGGCTGCATGGCTCCCTTCTCTGCCTCCATCTCCCCATGGCCTTCTCCTCTTCTCCCTGTGTTTCTCTCCTCTGTGCAGCTCAGGCACTTGGCATTGAATTTAGGATCCACCTGCATAATTCAGGATAAGCTCATGTTGAGATCCTTAACTTAATTACATCTTCAAAGACCCATTTTCCAAATAAAATCACATTCAGAGCTTCCAAGGGTGAGGGTGTAGATGTATCTTTTGCGCTGATATACTGTTCAGCCTACTACATTGCCCCTGGAAAAAATATGTTTTGATATAAAAATAAAGGTAGAATCCTTTTTCCTTCTTTGTCCTCTAAAAATACGGAAAGGAAGGAAGCCTTCCCATGGCAAACAGCTAGAGTCTTTTGCCCAAACCAGGCCTCAATTTAAGTGTTGTTCTTGATGTTTTGTGTTTAACATTTTTTTGAGGGTGAGGCTTGGGGGCAGGTTGCCCGCAGGAGGCACTGGCCTCATGGAACTACTTTCTATGATGCAGATTCAGTTCCTGGGGATTTTGGGGGGCCAGAAGGGGAGGACTATTTAAAAGAAGCCCCTAAACTTCACCCTGACACACAGAGTGCCTATTTGTGTTTTGTTTTGTTTTTTCCCTCAAGGGAGAATGGTTGTATTCCATCTCATCAGGGTCTCTTAAGATAAGCCCACACAACTGCTTTTGATATGAGAATCTAGACTGAATGTTCTAGGGCTCTCCAGCCTTTAGGAGGAAATGATATTATTTTGGCAGGTCTGCCTATGTTATGAGGGCTGAGGGCTTTCCGCTCTTACCCGCTGAATCAGCTCCCAGCCTGCCTCCCACCACCCCACAGGCCTCCCCACCATGGCGGGGCCTCCCTGCACCCTCCGAAGTGAGCCTGACCTGTGGTCCTGCTTTGGGGTCCTGAGTGTCCCCATCGGCCCTGCAGCTAGTATGTCCCTAAGCAGGTGGCTGCCTCCACCCTTCTCCTGTCTGGCTCTGTGCTGCCTGGAGCTGTCAGGGCACCAGAGCCCTGGTCCTGGACCTCCGGGTGGAGGGTGGATGAGCTGGCTTCCAGGTGGCTCTGCATTGTCTTGCCACCTGGCCATGAAGCTTCTGCTCCACGTCTCAGAGTCTTGCACAGAGTTCCTTCAGTTTCCAGTTTGTCCCCTTTCCCCCAGGCACTCCAAACCTCAGGTCTGGCAGGACGGACGCCATCCCAGCTCCAGCATTGGCCACTGCTCCTGGCTTCTTTTGGAGGCACTAAAACACTTCATTTCCTGAAATTTTCCTCTTTTAGCCAATAACTAAAGTCCCATAAACTCCACAAACATAAACCCAGTCTGGGGTCTGCCAGGACATCTAGCCGGATTGGGAGGAGGGTGGGAACATGAGTGCCATGCATCCACACCACACCTGTGAGCACAGCTCCTCCCTCAGGACCCAGGTGAGTACACAGAATGACTCCTACAGCCTTTCTCCCATTAAAAAAATAATAATAATAAGCCTGAACTTGTGTACTCCTTCTTCCTTTCCAGCCCCACGACGTTTAGTAAGTTATTTTCTCCCCACATCCTTTCCAGTTTCACGTGAGTCTGCCTTCCTCATTTCTCGCTGGGAATACGATTCCCAAAATAGCCTGAGAAAACTTTCTGTGGCATTGCCAGCCCCTGCGGGAGGGGCTCCATTATGAACTCCATGACTGGAGACTCCTGGCACCATGTGGCGAGGCTACCAGAAGCCGCATGATCTTGACCTTCAGTGAAGGATGTCAGTAAATTCCTTGTGATGTAAGAAGCAGTTAATGTGCACATAGAGGCCACATGCTCACTGAGGTGTCCCAAGGACACACTGGAATACCTGACCTAAAGTTTTGTTTTCCTTTTCATTTACCAGTTGCTCCTGCTATGCATTTTGATCATTGTATTGTTGTAGAAGACAGTAGCACAAAAGCCTTTATTTTTTGGGAATTTCAGCGTTGCCAGTTAATTATCTGGATCATCCAAGCAATGTCTACAAATTTTGTTCTGACACTAGAAACTTGATAGAGGGAGATATGTAGCCAAAATGAAGCACTGAGAGCATTCTGTGCCCCGAACCCTCCCTGATGTCAATACGTAGCTGATCATAGATAGCAGGAATTCATCCTGTTGAATAGTCACCAAAGAGAAATTCCCTTTGCTATGTGCTGTGACCAAATCTTGCCTAGGGGCCTGGGGAGAAAGTATGCCCTCTTTTCTCATTTTGTAATAAGCAAATCAACTGAACAGTGTTGTGGAGGCTAATATAGCTTCACAATTCAGACACTGTCTTGTTTATGGGATTCTTGGGATCAACCAAATGGATTCTTTTTTTTTTTTTTTTTTTCACATGGAGTCTCGCTCTGTTGTCCAGGCTGGAGTGCAGTGGCACCATCTCGGCTCACTGCAACCTCTGCCTCCTGGGTTGAAGAAGTTCTTCCTGCCTCAGCCTCCTGTGTAGCTGGGACTACAGGCACACACCACCATGCCCAGCTAATTTTTGTATTTTCAGTAGAGACAGGGTTTCACCATGTTGGCCAGGCTGGTCTCAAACTCTTGACCTCAAGTGATCCACCACCCTCGGCCTCCCAAAGTGCTGGAATTACAGGCATGAGCCACCATGCCTGGACTGGATTCTTAATAAGTCTCTGTTTGAGGGGAAGTCCAATAAAATATCTATGTCTGGAATCCTGTATTCAAAGAATCTTTAATAATGTGAAAAGCTCTCAGCTACTAGGGAGGCTGAGGCAGGAGAATTGCTTGAACCTGGGAGGCGGAGGTTGTGGTGAGCTGAGATCGCGCCACTGCACTCCAGCCTGGTGAAAGAGCGAGACTTCATCTCAAAATAATAATAATAACAATAATAATAATAATGTGAAAACTCATGATATTGCTATTTGTTTAAAAAGTATCAGTATGCTAAACTGTAGTTACAGTTTAATCTCCAAAATATCGCTTGCTTGATCTAGAAAATTTTTTACTTGGAAACAAAGGTGTTGATTCCATAATTCGTCTCAAAGCTTAAATGTAAGTTCCTGAGAAGCTGCTAAGCCTCTCAGTTGCTAAGCTGGTCACTCTAGGCCTTTGAAAGTTGCATCCTTTTCTGAGCACACCATTTTGATACAGGATGAAATGTGAAAGTTCTGGGTGCCAGGAAATGGGAGGAAAAGATGGAGGGAGGGGATTATCTCAGGGAAGGAGGCTGGTGACTCTGAAAAATCAACTGGGCTCAGTCAAAAGTGCTGTGGGCCTCAGTTGGAAACTGGAAGGGGACTGGGGCCTTAGCAATGGGGAAATTGACAAAATCAGGCTGCTGTAATCTCAGACAACTTCACCTTCTTTTGAACAGAACACAGCCTGTCCTTGTTGGCATTCTTTCATCACTCCTTCACTTTATTATATTTAAAGTGAATGGGTTAAATTTTCCCGTTCACTCAGATTGGATCAGAACACAGAACTGAGGTGTTAACACGTGCATCTAAAACAAGATGATGCCCTGAGTTTCAGAATAAAACATGCCACGTGAGAAAAATATATTTTAATAAATATAAACTTACATCCTTTTAAGAGTTTTTGTTCTTTTTTTTTTTTTTTTTTTTTTTTTGAGATGGAGTCTTGCTCTGTCACCCAGGCTGGAGTGCAGTGGCGCAATCTATGCTCACTGCAAGCTCCGCCTCCTGGGTTCATGCCATTCTCCTGCTTCAGCCTCCTGAGTAGCTGGGACTACAGGCATCCGCCACCACGCCTGGCTAATTTTTTGTATTTTTAGTAGAGACGGGGTATTAGCCAGGATGGTGTCGATATCCTGACCTCACAATCCTCCCGTCTTGGCCTCCCAAAGTGCTGGGATTACAGGCATGAGCCACCGTGTCTGGTCAAGAGTTTTTTAAAATAATTTTTTTCATTCCTTGAGAAATTACAGTTACATATTTAGGATGAATATTATCTGTAATTGGAAAGTATGTTTCATGGCTTTTTCTTGGCTAAATATATTTATTCCCTTATATTTCAAAATAGCCATAGTAGCCAATGTCTTCACAGAAAAGAGTAAATCAATTTATTTATTTAGTTATCAGACAATGAATACTTTTTAAGGGACTAATTAATATGCATGAGAATTGAAACAATGAGAAAAAAACCAGCCCCCAGTTACCCATGACCTTCAAAGAGCCAGAAATAGGACAATTATCACACAAATAAATGAGAGTGTCCACTGTGATCAGTGTTCTGAAGAAAGGAACAAATGGCCCTAAGGATATATCAGCTTCATGTCAGGGAGAGGAGAGGTGGCAAGGCCAGCCACAAAGGCATTCTCAGACCAAGCTGGTTTCCCCCAGGCTTTGACCCCACCGTCCACACCGGCTCCCTGCAGTCCACATTGGCCAAAGGCAAGGGTGCTGCCTGGAGGAGAAGCAGGGTGGGGGGGCCGGCCGGGGCACACACATCCAAAAAAGCATTAGTCATTCTTTGCGCTGGCCTAGAGGCCCGTCCATCACAGCACTTTGCAAATACAGGGCTGGATTCTCTACCTTATTTGCTGTTCTCTGTACTTGCCCTGGACTCACGGGCAGCTCACAATGGGGTGCCTTAATTCTGGATTTTGGGGGTGCCCTTCCTCTTGTACCTTCTTACCCCCACCCCTCAGATCTTTCAATCTCCTCATTCTCTGCTCTCTCCTCCTCACTCCCCTCCCCAAGGTCTCATGTCTTTTTCTGTGTGGTCTTCAGTGGGGGCTGACACTTGTTCATTCTCCATTCAGGTCTGGGGAAGGGGGAGCTTCAGTCCCTCAGGCTGAGAGAGAGGGAAGAGACTTCACTGTGGCTCTGCCTGCAATGGGACATCCAAAACCCATCAGATCCCTGACCCGGTGATGACAGCCAACCCACAGCTAACACATTGCCTGTGCCTCACTGGGTAGAACAGTTGTCAACCTCTGCCCACACCTTGATCTACTGGCCTCTTGAATCGTGAAAGGACACATTTCTGCTATTGAAGCCCCCAAGTCTGTGGTACTTGGTTATTGCACCCCTAGGAAACCAATCCAGCCATGTTGAGTTTAGGGTGCCTTTGAGACGCACTAATGGAGACATCAAAGAAGCAGTGAGATATTTGGTCTGGAGCTCTAGGGAGAAGGCAGGCCTGGGTGTGTAAATTTCAGTCATTTACATATGTGTCAGTTAAAGCCATGGACAAGGCTGACATGAGGAGGGAGAGAGTAGCAAGTGCAAAGAGAAGGCTCCACACACAGAGGAGGCTCATATTTAATGGCTGGGTTGAGCAGAAGGAGACTCACAGGAAACATAGATGTGACCGCAGAGGCAGGAGGAGACCCAGGGCGCGGTGTCTGAGGAGACCCAGGGCGCGGTGTCTGAGGAGATCCAGGGCGCGGTGTCTGAGGAGACCCAGGGCGCGGTGTCTGAGGAGACCCAGGGCGCGGTGTCTTGAGAAGCCAGAATAAGAGAGTGTTTTCTGAAGTCCGTGATGGAGAGGGTTTAATAGTGCTGAAGGCCAAGTGAGCTAAGGTCTGGAAAACATCCCTTCAGTTTGGTGACACCGATGCCATTCTTGTTCATAACTACCGATAGAGTCACTGGGAAAGATGGACAACTGAAGTATAGTGAGGGCTTTTATTTTAAGGTGAAAGAGGCATGAACATGTTTAAATGTTAATAGAAAAGATCCAGTTCAAAAAAAGAGACTAAACATAGACTAAACTCCTCTGTGAAGGAAGGTTGACACGTCTGCTCCTGAGACTGCTTGGGGCAGGGCATGGAGTCCACAGCACAGGACAAGGACTAAGGCCTGAGTGGTCTTGCTTTGTGCTCTTCGCTCTCAATTTTATGGAAATATTTAAAAAATCTCTCTCTTCTCCTTGGCCCACCACCTTCTTTATCAAAATGTAGGAATCATCTTCAGTTTCCAGGTGCACCATTAATTGAGACAGATTCTTTGGAGCTAGGAAGTATTCCTACAAAGCAACCTCTCCAAATACTGGGACAGCTGTCCTTTTGTTCGTAACAAATCTAGAATGTGCCAGGCACTTTGGGAAATGCTGGGCAAGCTTGAAAGTTGTGCCACACACTGATCACCCCTCAGATGAGTCGAATGGTTGGCAAGGGACATGAATAATGTACATAAATAACCATTATATGAGGGAGCAATTGTTAAGGTCTGTGAGACAAATCCATTCACAGTCCTGTAAGAAAGACAAACCAATGTTGAGGAATTGATCCAAATTGAAGGAGACCAAAGGGACATGGTAACCAAGGGCAGCCAGTGCTCCTGGATTGATCCTGGTTTGGGGACAACAGCTATAAGGGACATATTGGGACAATTGATGAAACTGGAATATAGACTTTGGGTTAGATAATAGTACTGTACCAATGTTACAATTTCTAATTTTGATTATTGCACTGTGGTTATGCAAGAAAATGTCCTTGGTCTGAAGACATACACACAGAAGCACTTAAGAAAAAGGAGGCAACATGTTTCTAATTTACTCTCACATGTCATAAAATGTGTGTATGTGTTTCATAAAATGTGTATGTGTGCGTGTGTGTGTGCGTACAAGCACACATGTGTGCAGAGGAAGAAAAAAGTAAGGCAAGATGTGAGTAGTCTGTGAATCTGGGAAATGGTACACAGAACTTCTTTTTATTACTCAGGCAGCTTTTCTATGTATGTGAAATGATGTCAAGATAAAAAGATACAAAAATTATTATAGGAGTTGGGGAGAAGTCTGGTTTCCAACTTGGGGACTGTATTAGACTGTTCTCACACTGCTATAAAGAACTACCTGAGATTAGGCAATTTATAAAGAGATTTAATTGGCTCACAGTTCCGCAGGCTGTACTGGAAGCAAAGTGGCTTCTGCTTCTGGGGAGGCCTCAGGAAGCTTCCTATCATGGCAGAAGGCAAAGGGGGAGTCAGCACTGTGCATGGCTGGTGCTACACACTTTTAGACAACCAGATCTCACGAGAACTCACTGTCAAGAGAACAGCACCAAGGGGGAAATCCGCCTCATGATCTAATCACCTCCCACCAGGCCCCACCTCCAACATGGGGGATCATAGTTTGACATGAAATTTGGCAAGGATATAAATCCAAACCATATCAGGAACCTTGGAGAAATGGTAACATTTTACTTGATTACATTTGTGTTCTCTGAGAAGAAAAGTAGAAGAGTCCTGAGCAAGATTATGGAAGGAGGCAGTTACAAGGAGAAATTTGGAGAATCGTCTGTGTTTTAATTTAGGACTAGACAATAGAGCTGGAAAAGAGACCAGCAATAGCCCAAGAAGGGCTTTGGATGCTGAGTGGTCTAGGATTTCTTCTGGAGGCTGCAAGAGTCTGAAAGCACAGCACAGGTGAGATGGAAGAGGGCAGAGGTGAGGGGCCAAGGAGGGACCAGGGCAACAGAACATGTGAAAGCCGCCAGCAGAGGGGTGGGCTGTGAGCACAGAGGACAGCTTTGAGCAATGCTAAGAAGTTCATATTGGCAAGACAGAGAAGTTACCAGCATCTCCAGCCAGACCAGAATCCTCCCGCAGCCTCTGGAATTCTGTCCCTCTTCGCATGGGCTATTTTGGTTATTTATGCCTTCTCCTATTTTTCTTGACTAATGTTACCAAAGACTTGCCAATTTTTATTGTATTCTTAAGAGAGTTGTTTTAGCTTGGCTGATTGTCTCTATTAGGTATTTGTTTTATATTTAATTAACATCAATGTCTTTATTTTAAGTTCTTTGGAGAATTACAATTTTACTTGAGTCTATCAGTAGCTCCTAACAAATGAAGTAAACTGATGAAAATTAAGATTCATAGAGAGTTCTAACAATGGGAGTAAACAACTGCATTTCCCAGCCTCCTTTGCAGGAATGTGTGGCCACGTGACCAAGTTCTGGGCAAGATGTTAGCAGTATTGTGTGGGACTTCGGAAGTCTCCTTCAAAAATAATTGATGTCCATGTCCTTCTTTTTCTTCTTGCCACCTGACACACAGATGTGGTGGCACATCTGTACTGTTACATAAGACTCAGTAATGATGCATATAAAATGATGGCTACAGGCCGCATTCAGCCACCAGCTGGTTTTGCATGGCTCATGAGCTAAGAGAGCTGTTTGCAGATGAATGTTTGCAATCAACTTGATGATAGGGAGCTGTAACTCTGAAGACCAGTCTAGCAAATGCTAGCTCCTTAAAAAAGAATCCTATTCTTCTCATTAATGTAGTGGCTGGGGGCCTGCAGGAAGGAAAGTACTGTGTCCATTTCTATCCATGAGAAGAGCTGGTCTTTAAATGACTGACAGGGTCCAATGTGGTCAACTCACCACCGAGTGACCAAGGCCTCCTAGAGGGATGGAGCCTGTAGGGGCACAGCATTCATCTTTGTTGCTGGCAGGTTGTGTATTTGGTGGCAGCAGCAGCTCAATCCACCCTGCCCCTTGCAAGCCCAGAGTCTTGCACCCACGCCTCCATTCCTGCCTCAGCTGGCCTCCCCAGGTATCCACTGGGCTGGCCTGGTGGTGACCAGTTACTGGCCAGCTCATATCATTTGGCTTAGTCATTTTGTTTCCTCAGTTGTTCAATTCCTCTTCCAAGGTGGAAACATACAACACATGACATGGAATACTCATCCTTCTCCTGTGTCCACATACACACCACTGCCTCAGGCCTCCAACTCCCCAGCCTTCCAATCTTTCTCTTTTTAGACCAGTGGCCCATCAGTCAAGTGATTCTCCACTGCCCATGTGTCTGTTTGACCCTGTGCAACACAGTGGGTGACATGGGGTCCTGGGTTACCTGTTCATGAGCTGGTAAACCTTCTGGCTCAGCTCGTACTCAATACCAAATGCACCCATTCCATGATACAGTGGGCCCACCTGATCTTGTGACTTGGTGGTTCTGACAGAGCCCATTCATATGGGCAATTGTTGCCACATTGTCATTGGTTCTCACAGTCAGGTGCCCCATCTTCAGGGCTCAGTAGCACAATAGAAATTGTTTTCCAGAAGGCATAGAGTTCTCCACTGCAGATGGCATGACTAAGCCCCAGAAACATAGGAGTCCTCATTATGATTCTCCCACAAGGCATGTGTTTTAAACTGTACCTGGCACATTTTCCCACCACTAACACCTCCTGTATCATAGGATCTGTCAGGCTGTATGGCCCAAGTGGCAGGGCTGCTTACATCCTATACTTTCCTACTCTGGGCCCCACTCCAAGCTGGAAGTCTCTCATGCCTTCCACTATAGGAACTAACATTGTGATCCCTTTTTTCACCATGGGAGACGTAAGATGCAATACTTTGCCCTATTCTTTGGATGGGATATTTCAACATATCCTTGGCCACTGAATCCCTAAACATTTTACTAAGATGGCGGGCCCCTGAATGTTCATGGAGGTTATCTCATACTCTCTGGAATGCGTGTGACTTACCAAGGCTTCCAATTCTTGGATTTCTTGTCATCCAGCCCCATTCTCACGATACCACTGATAAAATGAATCAAAGGCCAGGACATTCAAACAGTCCAGATCTCTTTGGACTATATTGTAACAGAGGGTGGGTAGGACAAAGAACTAACAGGTCTGGGACACACTGCAAATTTACACTGTTAACCATTTCAGTTAAAATTTACACTATTAACCATTTCATGTGAGTGCAAATGGTTTCTCATCCTCTTTTCTGCAAAGGATGTGAAAAAACGTATTTGCCAAATCAATAGCCACATGCCATGCCCCTAAGGCTGTGTTGACCTCTTCTAAATATATCATATTCTGCAGGGTGAGGGCAAGGCTTGCTACTACTTGCTTGAGTTGGTGGTAGTCTACTGTCATCCTCCAGGGTTCACCTGGGTTTTGCAGAGCCCAGCCTGGTGAGTTAAATAAAGATATGATGAGAACCACTGTACTGCACTTTTTAGATCTTTAAGGAGGGGATTAATTTCCATCATCCTCCTCAGGGGATACAATATTGATTTTTATATACTATCTCTGCTGAGGCAAGGGTGGGAGGGAACCATTTCAGGAGCTTTCCTTTGGGCTCCTACCCAATAGGCCAAGGACCTGATATGAGGTTATGCCAACTACCAAATATGATGCATCCATGTATAGAGAAGGAAAATGGCCATTGCACCCACTGAGATCCTAACCTTGGCAGATCTCAATTTATTACTCACCCCCAATATGCCCAATCTCTGACATGGGGTACATGATAATGTATTGAGTTTCTGGATGTCTATGTCAACTTCGACCCAGTGTCCAACAATCCTTGACATGTTTGGTATTCTCCTTTCCGTAGTGTACAATTACCCAAGTAACTGGCCATAAATCCCTTTGCAGAAAGACTGGGGTAATTATTATTGTGTGAACTTGCTGTGATGTTGCAGGATTCTTCCTCCTGGAGCCCAGATACTTTTCAAAAGATGAATGTCATTTCTGGTAAAAATAAAATAAAATAAAAATGGCATTGATTCAGTAACTGCTCAAGGAATCATAACACTGTACGAGGGCAATTGCTGTCAACCTCCTGATCATCTATCCTTGTTTTGTTCTTTGTTTTGTTTTGTTTTTTGTACAGATTGAGTAGTAACCTTGTTGGCAGCTCATTTATTTTGCCCCTAAACATGCCATAATCTATTAGGGGTCTAACTCTCAGGTAATCAGGTCCCCGACTGTCCCTACAACCTTGCCGTTTACTGTGGCAACTGCATGTACCAATGCATTCCTTGTGGCCTGGAAATAGTGTTCTCTTGAAGTTTCCCATGAAACACAGGCATTTGGTGGGTTTCCCAGTCTTACAAAGTCTATGCCCTCCCGCAGGCTCACTTCTCTGAGCCTTTTAATCCTTTTTCCCACTGGCAACCATGGTAATTCTGGAATTTCAACCTCACTTGGCATGGACCATTACTGTTTCTAGGCTCCTAGGAGCCATCCCAGTAGTGAGTTCACACTGTATTCTGAGGCCCTTGCCAGCATGTTAAAGCTTGTAACTGGGAAAGGGATCTCAAATCAATAAACTCTCCAGTTTCCAACCTCATGTTTTGGTCTCTTTTTCAAAACAGCATGCTCAGGAAGAAAAAAAAAGTTGATATTATAGAAGCAGAGAGTAGAACAGTGGTTACCAGAGACTAGGGAGCATATGGGAAAGGGTTGGTCAACAGGCACAAGGTTACAATTAGGAGGAATAAATTCTGATGTTCTATTGCACAGCAGAGTGACTATGGTTAATGGTAAAATATTGTATATTACAAAATAGCTAAAAGAGAGGCTTTTGAAGGTTCTTACCACAAGCAAATGATAAATGCATGAGGTGATATATATACAAACTACCATGATTGGATCTTTATACAACATAGATATGTATCAAAACATCAAATTTTACCCCATAAATATGTACAATTACAATGTGTCAATTTAAAAAGTTAAAAAAAAACAAAACAGTCTCCTCTGAATCCAGTCCTATGATTTGAGTCTTCTTCCAGCTCCTACCTATCAATGCTAAGTGTTGCAGCTTATTTGGGATATAGTCCCTTTCCTCTCCTATCAGGGTCAGTGCAACCGTGGCTAAGGTTGGGTTCAAACTTATCCTTAGCTATAAGACTAGTGATAGATGGGCAGGTGGGGGGATCCCAAGGGGTCACATGTTGTCTTATAGGGTAGAGGCCTCTGCATTGTTTACATGTGAGGGAAAAGTAACCCACCTCTATAGACTCTTCGGATTTAGAGGAATTTGTGCATTCAAGATTTAACAATAGCTTGAAGTATGTGAAAATCCTGGAGCAAGAAAATCCAAAAGTCCACCCAACCATAAAAGCAATGAAAAAAAACTGGCAAAAACTTTCAAAATCAATTGTTCAGAACTCGAGAAGTGAGCTAACAGCTTCCAATAACTAAGAGATGCTTTTGTAAAAAGTTGAATCTCAGTAAGAAAATCAAACTCTATGGCTTTTTCATTTACCCAATTCCATCTGCCATGCCCCAGCTCAGTGATAGTCTTGATCATCCAATCCTACATCCCTAGTGCAATAGAGAGCAGAATAAACTTCATTTGCCAAGAATTGTAACTGTTTTGACCTGTTTGGTGGATCCCTGGAACACCAACTTAAAAGGTTTGCCTTCATATCACATACCTTGAACTCACCCAGTGCTAAAATCACCACCTGAGAGCATCTGTCAAACAACATTTATAGGCAAATGTAAGTTACAACTCAGTAAGAGTTAATAAATGAGTTCAGAAAAGTTGCAGGATACAAGATCAGCATGCAAATATCAGTTGTATTTCTATACAGTAGCGATGAACAATCCAAAGATAAAGTTAATAAAACCATTCAGTTTATAATAGCAACAAAAAGAATATTTGGGAATAAATTTGACCAAGGAAGTGCAAGTGTTGTACACTGAAGACTACAAAACATTATTGAAAAATAATAAAGACCTAAATAAATGGAAAGATGTGTAATTTCATGGATTGGAAAACTTAATAATATCAAGATGGCAATATATGCCAAACCGATCAACAGATTCCATGCAATTCCTGCCAAAATTCCAGTGGCTTTTTTTTTTTCAGAAATGGACAAATTGATTCTAAAATGAACAAGTGACACCAAATAGCCAAGACAATGTTTAAAAAGGAAGAAAATTGGAGGACTCACACTTTCCAGTTTCAAAACTTACTACAAATTTACAGTATTTGAAACAATGTGATACTGGCATATGGATAAATGTGTAGAACAATGGACTAGCACCGAAAGTCCAGAAATAAGTTTATATGCCTATGGTCAATTGATTTTTGTCAAGGGTTCCAAGACCATTTGAAGATGGAAATAATAATCCTTTCAACGAATGATGCTGAATATCTACATGCAAAAGAATAAATGTGGATCCCTGCTTTACACCGTATACAAAAATCAATGCAAAGTGGGTCAAAGACCCAAATATTAGAGCTGAAACTATAAATTCTTAGAAGAAAACATAGGTACAAGTTTTAGTGACCTCACACATGCAACAACATGCATGAACCTATAAAACATTATGCTAAGTGATAGAAGCCAGACACAAAATGCCACATTTTGTATGACTTCATTTCTATAGGATATCCATAATAGAAAAATCTGTAGAGACAGAAAGTAAATAGGCAATTTCCAGAACGTGGGAGAAGGAGGGAATGGGGAGGTACATGGTTTCTTTGGGGTATGATGGAAATATTCTGGAATTAGATAATGATATGGTTGCACATTTTGTATATAATAAAAACCACTAAATTGAAGAATTTGACATTGTAATGGTGAATTTTATCTATGTTAAACAACAAATTTAAAAAAAATATTTGGAGGAACATTGACCCGCTTGCCCCACTCCATGCGTCCCATTGAGCACCCTGACTTTGGTATAACAGACCTGCCTTGATTGGGCATTTAGCATTCTTTAAAGCTTGGCTACTCTGAATTAAGTCTGAGGTCTTATCCTCAGCTCTGTCTTTTCTCATGCTGCAGATGGGAAAGTCTTTGTATGCTACCAAGGTTTCCACTTGCTTGTTAATCAATCTCAAGTCTTTGTTATACTTTTCTTTGAAATGCCTGATGTATCATGTCATCCACATTTCAGCACATCTCTTCATTATACTATCTCAGTTTCCCACTAGAGAAGTGAAGCCATTAGACTTCACTTCTTAGTCTTATACTAGAAGCTATCTCCATCTGCCATCTATTACCTCCATCTACCAACTCCACCTACCACCAGTGATGAGGTCCTCATTGCCAGCTGAATAAGTGAGTGTGCCAGCTCCAAAACTCTATTGTTTCACCTGCTTTCTTAGTACATTCCTGCTATTAACTGTTACAGATTGAGTTCTCTGGGAAAGTCTCTGAGAAAGAATTTTGCATAAGTGCTTGTTCAAGAGTGTCCTTGAGATTAATGCCTGAAGGAGGGAGAAAGGAAAAGGAAGGAGAATGGGGCAGAGAGAGAAGTTGAGCTGTAACAGGGGCCCAACAGTAACACCTGAAGACCCACAGAGACCTCTGGAGCTACAGTGGCTTTTCAGAGTTGACCTCAGTTGGGCCAAAATGGTCAGACATTATATTTTTTTTATTGTTCTCTCATTTAATGTGGGCTGCCCAAGGAAGGAGTGGGCAAGACGCCTTTCTGAAGCTAACATAATTACTGAAGGGTCTGACAGTAGAAGACATCAGCCAACAACAGTCCCTGCTGCTAGGTCAACAAGTCTTTCCTTAGAGGGATCTAGAAGGCACAACTCAGTGTTCATCAGTTCCTTCACTGGATTTTCAGCTGCATGTCTGTCATTATTCTTCTAGTTGTTCCTGTAGGGATTGCAATATAAATCCTTATCACTGTCTACTTAGAATTAAAGTTGTGCCACTTCTCATAAAATATAAGGACTTTGAAGTATTATAGTTCCACTTATTACCATCCTTAGTTATATTATTGTCATATTTATCATATCTAAATACATTATAAATCCCCAATACAGTATTGTCTTTTTAAAAATTAAGAGAAATAAAAAACTGTGTAATCTTCATATGTGCCATATACTTACTATTTCTGATGCTCCTTGCTTGTTCCTGTACTTCTACAATTACATTTGGAGTCGATTTTTTTCAGCCTGAATAACTTTTTTTGCTATTCCTTATAATGTGAATCTGCTGGTGACTGATTCTATTTTCATTCACCTGAAAAAGTCTGTATTTCATCATCATTTTTGAATGAAATTTTTGCTAGGTACAGAATTCTGGGTTGAAGGTTGTTTTTATTCCCCTGAACTTTAAAGAAGTTTTTTTCAAAGTATTCTCCCTCCATTAATTCTGATGTGAATCATTCTGATGTGAGTCATTATTCATGTTGTTGCTTCCCTGTAGTTAATGTGGTTTCTCACTGTTATTAGTTGTTTTTTTCTCCCATTTCAAATATTTTCTCTTTATCTTCAATTTTCAACAGCTTGCCTATGACATGCCAAGGTGTGAATGTCTTTGTCTTTATTTTTCTTGGGTTTACTGAGTTACGTGGGTCTGTAAGTTTAAATTTGGGAAAGTTTAAGTCATGTATTCCAAATAATATTTTCTGCCCTATATTCTCCTTTTTCTCTGTCTGGAACTCCAGCTACATGTGTATAGACTTTTTCATCTTGTCCCACAAGTCAATCTCTTTTCAATCTATTTTCTCTTTCTTTTTCAGAATTGACAGTGTTCATGTATTAACCTGCAAGTTCCCTGATAATTTATTTTGTCAAACGTAATCTACTATTAAGCCCAGCCAATTAATTTTTCATTTTGGATATTTTAATTCTTAGTTCTAAAATTTCTGTTTGCTTCATTTTTATGGTTTCCATTACTCTGCTGAAATCCTATGCCTATTTTTGTATTATAAGCATTTCCCCTTTAATTTCTTGAATATATTATAATAACGATTTTAAAGTCCTTGCCTACTTCTAATTACCACATTTAGATTATTTCAGGGTTACTTTCTATTGGTTTTCCCCCTGATTATGGATCACATTTTCCTGCTCACTACCTGTCCATCAGTGTATGACCTAATGGTGGGTATTGTGAATACTACATTGTTAAGAGTCCATATTTTGATGTCTTTCTCTGGAAACCATATAATTTTGTGCTGACAGAAAATTTACAGGTAGATAAACTTAATTCTTTTGAGGCCTATTTTTAAACCCTGTTAGGCTGAGTCTGGAATAGTCCTTACTCTAAGTAGAGTAGCTTTACTTCTAAGATGTGGCCTTTCTGCTACATTAGCTGAAAGCCTGGCATGTTCAGTGAGGTCACTCTTCTCTGGCTGAGTGGAACTCTTGTCTCTCAGTATTATACTACCTTCATCTTCTCTGTTAAGTGCACAGCTTAACAGAACTCCTACTTAGACAGGCCTCATAGAACCTCATTCTGTTCAGAAGCAAGTGTTTCTCAGCCAAAGATTCCATGATCTATGAAGATTTTTACAGGCCTATGCCAGTAGATCCCAGTGCTGGGCCAGCCCCCCAGACCTCATCCCTTGTGGACCTAAGTTTCAAACCAGCCTCTACAGCCCGAGGATCTAGGTTAGCCCTCATGAACCCACCCTCCAGGCTGGCCCCAATGGACCAATACACCAGGCACACCCCAATGTATCCAAGCCCCAGGACCATCTCAGTGCCCAGAAAGCCCCTGCAGACTAAAGCTTAAGGCCCACTCCAGTGCCAGGTCAGCTCTTGTGGACCCAGGCTTCAGGCCATTCCCTCCAGGGCTGCCCTTCTGGACCCAGGCTCCAGGCCCACCCCATAGACCCAGTCAACTTGTCCCCCCAGTGGATCCAGGATGTAGACCCACCACATGGGCCCAGGCACCAGGTCAGCCTGCCTGAAGATTCCAGCAGTAAAGTTTCTTACAAACTATACCAGGGAGCCTGCCTAGAATCTCTGGGCAGGCTGATTTGTGTAGGACACTTTTTTTAGTCTGCCAAGGCTAAAATAAGTCTCTGTTTTAAATGTGCAAACATCAGTGTAAGGCAACAAGAAACATGAAAAACCAAGAAGATGTAACACCAGTAAAAGAACAGAATAATCTCCCAGTACCTGGTCCCAAAGAAATAGAGATATATTAACAGCTTGACAACGATTTCAAAATAATTGTTTTAAGGGAGTTTAGCAAACTTTAAGAAAATACAGATAATTCAATGAAATCAGAAAATAATAAATGACCAAAATGAGAAACGTAATGGAGAGATTGAAGTTGTTTTAAACAGTCAAACAGAAATTTTGAAACTGAAGAATACAATGAATGAAATGAAAAATTCAACAGAACACATCAGATACAGAATCAATCAAGTAGAAGAAAGAATCTTTGAACTTGAAGATAGGTTATTTGAAAACATACAGTCAAAGGGGAAAAAAGAAAAAAGGATAAAAAGGAATTTATCCTTTAAAAAGGAAAAAGCTTATTGAACTTATGAAGGAACATGAAAGGAGCTAATATTTGAGTTACAGGACTTCAAGAGAGAGAAACATACTGGTAGAAAGCTTGTTTAAAGAAATAATAACAGAAAACTTTTCAAATCAAGGAAAGATATAAATATCCGGGTACAGGATGGTCAAAAGTCTCCAATTCAATTCAGTTCAAACACAATGACATCAAGACATAAACTGTCAAAAATCAAAGACAAAGAGATAATTCTGAAAGCAGAAAGAGAGAATAAGCAAATCACCTATAAGGGAGTTCTAGTAAGACTATCAGCAAATTTCTCAGCAGGAAACTTACAGGTCAGGAGAGAGTAAGATAATATATTCAAAGTGCTGAAGAAAAAACTACAAACCAAGAATACTGTATTCACCGAAGCTGCTCTTCAGAAATGAATGAGATATTAAGACTTTACTGAACAAACAAAAGCTGAGGGAGTTCATTACCCCCAGACCTGTCTTACAAGAAAGGTTATATGGAGTCTGCAAGCTGAGTAAAAAGATGCTAATTAGTTACAAAAAAAAACTGAAAAAATAAAACTCACTGGTAAAAGTAAATAATAACAATAATAGCTATAATAATTTGTTAAGGGGTATATACTATAAAAAGATATACATTTTGACATCAAAAATTTTAAATGTGGGGAGGTGGAGAGTGAAGGTGTAAAGTTTTCTTGCAATCAAAATTAAGTTAACAGTATAAAATAGCCTGTTATAACTAAGATTTTTTGTAAGTTTCCTAGTAACCAGAAGCAAAAACCAATAGTAGATATACAAAAGATAAAAAGGAATCAAAGCATAACACTAGAGAAAAACCACTTAATCACAGAGGAAGACAGCTAGAGAGGAAGAAAGAAACAAAAGGTCTACCAAACAACCAGAAAACAATTAACAAAATGCCAATAGTAAGTCCTTACTTACCAGTAACTATCTTGAATGAACATTGATTAAATTCTCCAATAAAAAGACACAGTGGGTGGGGCATGATGGCTCATGCCTGTAATCCCAGCCCTTTGGGAGGCCGAGGTGGGGGGATCATGAGGTCAAGAGATCGAGACCATCCTGAACAATATGGTGAAACCCTGTCTCTACTAAAAATACAAAAATTAGCTGGGCATGGTGCCGTGCACCTGTAATCCCAGCTACACAGGTGGCTGAGGCAGGAGAATCGCTTGAACCTGGGAGGCAGAGGTTGCAGGGAGCTGAGATTGTGCCACTGCACTCCAGGCTGGCAACAGAGTGAGACTCCTTCTCAAAAAAAAAAAAAAGACACAGTGACTGAATGGTTTAAAAAATAAGATCCAACTATATATTGCCTGTTAGATACTCATCTCACTTATAACAACATACCTAGACTGAAAGGAAAGGGATGGAAAAAATATTTTATTAAATGGAAACCAAAAAAGAGTAGGGATAGTTGTACAGATTGAATATTCCTAATCCAAAAACCTGAAGTCTTAAATACTCCAAAATTAAAATTCTTTTGAGTGCTGATATCACGCTCAAAGGAAATGCTCACTGGAGAATTTTGGATTTGGTTTTCAGATTAGGAATGCTAAAACAGTAAATATATAATGCAAATATTCCAAAATCAAAAAAAACTTAATTTAAAACATTTCTGGTCCCAACCATTTTGGATAAAGGAAACTCAATCTGTAACAGATAAAATAAACTTTAAGTCAAAAACTGTAAAAAAGGCAAAGAATATATTATTATCATTATAATACAATGATAAAGAGATTAATTTATTAAGATAATATAACAATTGTAAAAATATATGTACCCAAGGCTGGAGTACCTACATATGTCAACCAAAGCAAATATTAATAGATCTAAAAAGAAAGATAGAGCATAATACAATAAGAATAGAGGACTTTAAGAGCTCCACTTTTAGCAATGGACAAATCATACAGAGAATTAATAATGAAACATCAGATTTAAACTACAGTTTAAGCCAAATCTAACTAATAGACATATACAGAACATTCCATATCAGTAACTTATGGTATGCAGCAAAAACAGTTCTAAGAGGGAAGTTTATAGCAATAAACACATCAAAAGAGAAGAAAGAGGGCCCAGATCAGTGGCTCATGTCTGCAATTCCAGCACTTTGTGAAGTCAAGGCAGGAGGACTGGCTTGAGATCAGGAGGAATTTGAAATCAGCATGGATGACAGAGTGAGACATTGTCTCTACAAAGAAAAAAAAAAGAAAGAAAGAAAGAAAAATTAGCCAGTTGTGATGACTTACTTGTAGTCCCAGCTACTTGGGAGGCAGAAGTGGGAGGATCACTTGAGCCCAGGAGGTCAAGGCTGCAGTGAGCCATGATCATACCATTGCTCTCCAGCCTGGGTGACAGAGCAAGACTCTGTCACAAAACAGTGAAACATAGACAGCCAGCTGTGGTGGCTCATGCCTGTAATCCCAGCTCTTTGGGAGGCTGAGGCGGACAGATCACCTGAGGTAAGGAGTTCAAGACCAACCTAGCCAACGTGGTGAAACTGCATTTCCACTAAAAATACAAAAATTAGCCAGGCATGGTGGCAGGCACCTGTAATCCCAGCTACTTGGGAGGCTGAGGCAGGAGAATTGCTTGAACCTGAGAGGCAGAGGTTGTAGTGAGCCAGTGCACTCCAGCCTGGGTGACAGAGTGAGACTCATCTCAAAAAGCAAACAAACAAAAAGTGAAAAATAAAAATAAATATTTATTTTAAAAAAGAAGAGAGATCTCAAATAAACAAGCTAACATTTATATCTCAAAAAACTAGAAAAAGGAGAACAGACTAACCCAAAAGTTAGTAGAGAAAAGGAAATAATAAAGATCACAGCAGAAACAGAAGAACAAGAAACTAGAAAAATGATAAAAAAGAGAAACAAAACTAAGAAATAATTTTTAAAAAGATAATTAAAATGGACAAACTTTATCTAAACTAAGAAAAACAGAATACTCAAACAAAATCATAAATGAAAGAGAAAACACTATAATAGATACTGAAGAAGTACAAATGATCATAAGAGACTACTTTGAACAATTATATACCAACAAATTGTATAACTAAGGAAATGGATTAATTCCTAGAGGCAAACAACCTACCAAGACTAAAGCAGGAAGAAATAAAAAATCTGAACAGAGCAATGAGTACAAGATTAAAATCAGTAATAAGAAGTCTCCCATCAATGAAAAGTCCAGGACCTAATGGCTTCACTACTGAATTGTACCAAACGTTTAAAGAACTAATAAGAGAAATCCTCCTCAAACTTTTCCAAAAAATAAAAAAGGGAATACTTTCAAATTCATTTTATGAGGCTAGAATTACCCTGATACCAAAAACAGAAAAGAACACTATAAGAAAAGAAAATTAGAGTCCAATATCCCTGATGAACATGGATGCAAAAATCATCAACAAAATACTAGGAAATTGAATCCAACAGTACATTAAAGGGATCATTCACCATGATCAAGTGAGATTCCCCCAGGAATGCAAGGATGGTTCAACATACACAAATCTGTAAATGTGATATACACTGCATTAACAGAATGAAGGACAAAAATCATATGATCATCTCAATAGATGCAAAAAACAGCATTTGATAAAACTCATTATCCTTTCAGGATAAAAATTCTTTAAAAGTTAGGTATAAATAAATGTATCTTAACACAATAAAGATGACAAAACTTTAATATGACAAACCCACAGTTAACATATTCCACAATGAAAAGTTGAAGCATTTTCTTCTAGCATCAGGAATAAGACAAGGATGCCCACCCTTGCAACTTCTATTCAACATAATAGAAGTTTTATGGAATGGAAGTTTTACCCAGAGCCAGTAGGCAAGTAAAAGAAATAAAAGGCATCCAAATTGGAAAGGAAGAAGTTAAATTGTTCTTGTTTGCAGACGACATACTCTTGTATATAGAAAACCCTAAAGACACCACCAAAAAACTATTCTTCACTAATAAGCAAATTCAGTGCAGTTGCAGAATAGCAAATCAACATACAAAACATACAAAAATTAGTGTCCACAACATACAAAAATCAGTATGTATTGTATCCACAATATATGTTTTGTATCCACGAAACATATATTATGGATATGTTTCCTATCCACAAAACATAAATTGTGGATATGTTTTCTATCCACAACATACAAAAATCATTATCCTTTCTATACACTCACCAAAATCTACCAAAAAATAAATCAAGACAACAATCCTATTTTAAATGGCTACCAAATAATTGGACTAAATTTAACCAAGGAGGTAAAAGATCTGTATGCTGAAAACCATAAAACGTTGATTAAAGAAGTTGAGGAAGACATAAATAAATGGAAAGATATCTCATGTTTATGGATTAGAATAATTAATATTAATATCAATTTATGAATAAATAAAGGTTTGTCACCTTTATTGCACTGAGGTACATTCATTTATACTAAATTTGTTAAGAATGTTTATACTGAAAGTTAAAATGTTTATACTACCCAAAGCCGTCTATTGACTCGATGCAATTCCTATCAAAATTCCAGTAAAATTTTTCACAGAAATAGAAAAAAAATCCTAAAATCCATATGGAAAGCAATAGACCCCAAATAGCCAAAGTAATATTGAGGGGAAAAAAGCCAGAGACATTATATACTACGTGACTTCAAAATATACTATAAAGCTATAATAGTCAAGACAGTATTACACTGGCATAAAAAGAGACAATGACCAGTGAAAGAGAATAGCAAGCACAGAAATAAATCCATGAAGTTAGTCAGTTGTTTTTTTTTTTTTTTTTTTTTTTTTTTTGAGACAGAGCCTCACTCTGTCACCCAGGCTGGAGTGCAGTGGCGCGATCTTGGCTCACTGCAAGCCCTGCCTCCTGGGTTCATGCCATTCTCCTGCCTCAGCCTCCTGAGTAGCTGGGACTACAGGTGCCCACCACCACGCCTGGCTAATTTTGTTTTTTGTATTTTTTAGTAGAGACGGGGTTTCACTGAATTAGCCAGGATGGTCTTGATCTCCTGACCTGATCTTCCTGATCCTCCCGCTTGGCCTCCCAAAGTGCTGGGATTACAGGCGTGAGCCACCACACCCGGCCAGTCAGTTGGTTTTTTACAATGGTGCCAAGCACATACAGTTTCTTCAATAAATGGTATTGGGAACACCGGATATCCACATGCAGAAGAATGAAATTAAATCCTTGTCTAACATCATCATATTAAAAATAAAATCAAAATGGATTAAGGACCTAAATGTAAGACCTGAAGCTGTAAAACTACTAGAAGAAAACAAGAGAAAAACTTCTTGACATTGGCCTGGGCAATAATTTTTTTTGATATGACCCAAAAGTACAGGAAAAAAATGCAAAAATAGATAAACAAGATTGCATAAAAGAAGGCACACAAATGACCAACTGGTATATGAAAAACGCTCTACATCACTAATCATCAGGAAAATGCAAATTAAAATCACAATGAGGCATCAACTCACACCTGTTAGATGGCTTTTACCAAAAAGGTGAAAGATAACAAGTGTTGGCAAGGATGTAAAGAAAAGGGAACCCTTCCACATTTGGTGGGAATGTAAATTGTACACCTATTATGGATAACAGTATGGATTACAAATAACTTATGATCCAGCAATTCCACTACTGGGTATATATCCAAAGGAAATGAAATGAGTATGTTGAAGAGATACCTACATTCCCATGTTCATTGTACCACTATTCACAGTAGCCAAGATATGGGATCAACCGGTGTCCGTCAACAAATAAATGGATAAATAAAATGTAGTATATATACACAATTGAATACTATCCAGCCTTAAAAAGGAAGGATATCCTGTCATTTGAGACAACGTGGATGAACTTGGGGACATCATGTGAAGTGAAATAAGCCAGACACAGAAAGACAAATACTATGTGATCTCATTTATATGTGGAACCTGAAAAAGTCGAATTCATAGAAGCAGAGAGTACAATGGCAGTTACCAGGGGCTAGAGGAGAGGAGATGTTGGTCAAAGGGCACAAATTTCTGTTAGGCAGGAAGAATAAGGTCAATAGATCTATTATGTAGCATGGCGACTACAATTAATAACATTGTATTGTATTCTTGAAAATTTCTAAGAAAGGAGATTTTTAAGTGTTCTCATCACAAACAAACAATTGATGTTTGTGAGGGAAAGCATATGTTAATCAGCTTGATTTAGCCATTCCACAATGTGTACATATGTTAAAACAGCATGTTGTACATGATAATTATATACAGTTTGTATTTGCCAATTAAAATAAGATTTTTTTAAAAAGTGTAACTCAAATGTACCTGTTAGCAAAGAGCTGAGAGGCCCTGGAGGGGTCCTGGGAAGCAAGAGACCTGGGCCAGGAGCCCAAAGCCCCCCACCCCCATACACATTCCTGCCATCAATCCCTTGTGTTACATTGGACAAATCACTTTTTCCCTGAGCCTGTTTTCTCCTGTCTAAAAGAGAGATGCCACCTGTACCCTCACTTCCCTCCCCCGCCTTCCTTCCATCCTTTCTTTCTTCATCCAAGCATTAGTTGAGCTCCTGGCAAATACTGGCCTGGTGGCCCAGACATGAGTTACTCTGTCTTCTGGATAGCTTCCACACCCCCACCAACTTTATTGGATCATTGTGGGGGAATAAATGATAAGACAGAGGTGATGCTGTTCTTTTTAAGAAGGTACTTCCCAGGCATGAGGCATGATTGATCTTTTTACAGCATTCCTGATCTAAAGGCAGGATTTCCTTTAGTAGCATCCAGTGTAACTATTGCCTATCTGTTGGGCAGCCCTGGAACAATCCTGCGTTTTGTTCTGGGGGAAGCTGAACAGGCTCCTATGTTGTCTGGCTGGCCCCATGTGTGGGCACAGACCCAGCCTGGCATCTGGTGGAGTCACCCTGGTTACCCCACCCGCCCCCACTCTCCCCAGTGGAATACACACAGCAGGCAGGCGAGCCTGGGAGTGTCCAGGCTTCCTAGAGCCTCAGCTGAGCCCAGTTAGAAAGTCAGCACGGCACACAAGCATTTGGGAAGTTTACTTTAGATTCTTCCACAGATATCAGTGTGTGAGTTAACCAATTTTAAATTATCCTCTATTTAACATGTTCTTATTACAAATATTTGTATCAAAAATTCCAATCAGATGTACTTTGCTTCACTACCTTTAGTCTACAATTATTGATCTTAATCACTTTGATGCCAGTCTTCAACCTTGGTGGTCAGCACATGACTTCTGGGTTTTATGAATGGCCATAAAACCAGACACAGCGTGTCCAGCTCTGTGTGTCAGGAACCAAGATAAATCATGATCTTCGCAGGGTTCAGTTGGCTCTTCTGTTAAATGAGGGGACAGACCAGATTCGTTTGCCTTCTTAGTTTCATAATTCTACAATTTTAATTCTATTCAAGTTTTAAAGCTTCTAGAGCTTATAGTATAAATTCAGGATCTAAAGCTAATAACAAAGTATAAAATAAAGATCTCTTGTTACCACTTCCCTATCTTCAGTGACCCCTTGCAAAGAAAAGACACATCTTTTTATTTTCAGAGATCTCACTAAAGTGCACTGTAAACTAAAGAGCCCATGAACATCAAGGCACATTTTGATTCTATCTCCAAGGCCTCCATCATCCTGTCTGCAAAATGGGTTAGTTAGATCATGGTGCTGGTCTGTGACTGCATTTGCTCATTTCTGTCAAAATGGGAGAGGAGTGTAAAAACAATGTCATTACATTTTTATAAGGTTAAATTTCTTCTATTCTAAATTCGCAGATGATTCCCACTGTTTCTGACATCCACGTGTTCTTTTTTTTTTTTTTTTTCCAGACAGGGTCTTGCTCAGTTGTCCAGGCTGGAGTGCAGTCTTGGCTCACTGCAGCCTCAACATCCTGGGCTCAGGTGATATTCCTGCCTCAGCCTCCCAAGTAGCTGGGACAATACACATGCCACCATGCCTGGCTAATTTTCTTTCTTTTCCTCCCTTCCTTCCTTCCTTCCTTTCATTCGTTTTTTCTGGATGGGTGTCTCACTTTACTGTCCAGGCTGGTCTTGAACTCTGAGCCTCAAGCAAACTCCCGCCCCAGACACCCAAAGTGCTGGGATTGCAGGCATAAGCCACAATGTCCAGCCATATAACGTTTTTGCCATTGCTGGTTTGGCTTGTTTTTTTATTTGTTTTGTTTTTGAGTATCTTGTTGGCAACCCTGTGTCAATCATTCTATTTTTAAATTTTATTTTCCTAGTCCATGAAGTCCAACTGACATGATTTGGCTGTGTCTCCACCTAAATCTCATCTTGAATTGTAGCTCCCATAATCCCTATGTGTCATGGGAGGGACCTGGGAAAGGTAATCGAATCATGTGGAAAGGTTTTTCCTGTGCTGTCCATGTGATAGTGATAAGTCTCACGAGATCCGATGGTTTTATAAAGGGCAGTTCCCCTGCACATCATCTCTTGCCTGCCACCATGTAAGATGCGCCTTTGCTCTTCCTTTGCCTTCCACCATGATTGTGTGGCCTCCCCAGCCATGTGGAAATATGAGTCCATTAAACCTCTTTTTCTTTATAAATTACACAGTCTCAGGTATGTCTTTATTAGCAGTATGAGAACAGGCTAATATAGTAAATTGGTACCAGGAGTGGGACAATGCTGTAAAGATATCCGAAAATTTGGAAGCAACTTTGAAACTGGGTAAAAGGCAGAGTTTGGAAGTTTAGAGGGCTCAGAAGAAAACAGGAAGATGTGGGAAAGTTTGGAACTTCCTAGAGACTTGTTGAATGCCTTTGACCAAAATGCTCATAGAGATGTGGAAAATAAAGCCCAGGCTGAGGTGGTCTCAGATGGAGAGGAAAAACTTGATGTAAACTGAAGGAAAAGTCGCTCTTGCTATACAAAGAGACTGGTGGCATTTTGCCCCTGCCCTAGAAATCTGTGGAACTTTGAACTTGAGAGAGATGATTTAGGGTACCTGTCAGAAGAAATTTCTAAGCAGCAAAGCATTCAAGAGGGAGCAGAGCATAAAAGTTTGAAAAATTTGCAGTCTGACGGTGCCGTAGAAAAGAGAAACCTATTTTCTGGGTAGAAATTTAAGTGCCTGGCTAACATGGCGAAACACCGTCTCTACTAAAAAATTAGCCAGGCATGGTCATGGGTGCCTGTAATCCCATGCTTGAACATGGGAGGTGAAGGCTGCAGTCAGCCATTGCATTCCAGCCTGGGTGGCAAGAGCAAAACTCCATCTAAAAAAAAAAAAAAAAATCAAGCCAACTGCAGAAATGTGCATAAGTAATGAGGAGCCAAATGTTAATCACCAAGACAATGGGGAAAATGTCTCCAGGGCATGTCAGAGAACTTCATGGCAGCCACTCCCATTACAGGCATAAAGGCCTAAGAGGGAAAAACGCCCCTGCTATGTGCAGCCTTGGGACTTGTTGCACTGCCTCCTGCCTCCCAGCCACTCCAGCCATGGCTAAAAGGGCCCAAGGTACAGCTCAGGCCATGGCTTCAGAGGGTGCAAGCTCCAAACTTTGGCAGCTTCCACGTGGTGTTGGTCCTGTGGGTGTGTGGAAGACAAGAATTGAGGTTTGGGAACCTCCACCTGGATTTTGGAAGACGTATGGAAATGCCTGGATGTCCAGGCAGAGGTGTGTTGCAGGGGTGGAACCCTCATGGAGAACCTCTGCTAGGGAAGTGCAGAAAGGAAATGTGAGGTTGGAGCCTCCACACAGAGTCCTCACTAGGGCACTGCCTAGTGGAACTATGAGAAGAGGGCCCCTGTCCTCCAGACTCCAGAATGGTAGATCCACCAACAGCTTGCACTGCGTGCCTCGGAAAGCCACAGACACTCAATGCCAGCTGTGAAAGCAGCAGGGAGGGAGATTGTACCCTGCAAAGCCACAAGGGCAGAGTTGTCCAAGGCTGTGGGAGCCACCATTTTACATCAGTTTGACCTGGATGAGAGACATGGAGTCAAAGGAGATGATTTTGGAACTTTAAGGTTTAATGACCCCCATCAGATTTCAGACTTGCATGGGGCTTGTAGCCCCTTCATTTTGGTCAGTTTCTCCCATTTGGAATGGGTGTATTTACCCAATGCCTGTACCTCCATTGTATCTAGGAAGTAACTAACTTGCTTTTGATTTTACAGGCTCATGAGTGGAAGGGACTTGCCTTGTCTCAGATGAGACTTTGGACTGTGAACTTCTGAGCTAATGCTGAAATGAGTTAAGACTTTGAGGGACTGTTGGGAAGGCATGATTAGTTTTGAAATGTGAAGATATGAGATTTGGGAGGGGCCGGGGCAGAATGATATGGTTTGGCTGTGTCCTCACCCAAATCACATCTTGAATTGTAGCTCCCATAATCCCCATGTGTTGTGGGAGGGGCCTGGTGGGAGGTAATCAAATCATGGGGGTGGGTTTTTCCCATGCTTTTCTAGTGATAGTGAATAAGTCTTACATCTGATGGTTTTATAAAGGGCTGTTTCCCTGCACACACTCTTGCCTGCCACCATGTAAGACGTGCCTTTGCTCCTCCTTTGCCTTCCATCATGATTGTGAGGCCTCCCCAGCCAAGTGGAACTGTGAGTCCATTAAACCTCTTTTTTTCTTCATAAATTACCCAGTCTCTGGTATGTCTTTATTAGCAGCATGAGAACAGACTAACACATCAACCAGCTGGAACTGATCAGCAGATTTCTTATCTGAATCCACAGCTCTTATTTCTAGTAAGCCCATGCATTATCTAGCTCAGCAAATCAATTAACACATTTTTTTCCTATGACTCTAGTTTCTCAACCTTTGTCTTTTTATCCAAACTCTAGCACCAACTCTCCATTCCAGCCACCACTTCCTCAAGGCACCAGATAAGCAAATCCTCTCGCTCCCAGGACATTCTTCCCCTTCCAGGCCAGGTTCCTCCTCCATCCCTCTAAACTCAAGTGAAGATTTGCCTATTTCATAAACTTTTCCTGAATTATTCCACCCTCTTCCAGGCACTGTAATCTAAGTGATTATATCCTGATAGCATTAATCAGGGAAAAATGGGACCAACCCATGTCAGAAAGTGTGGACTATACTGGATATATGTTTCTCTTTTACTCACCAGTAATGCTTTCCTCTACCTAATACTCTGTAACTATCTCCAAAAAGTTAAATAAATCAGATCATTAACTAGAGAGGCCTTTGAGGCTAAGTGACTTGCCCGAGTTTGCAAATCTTGTTCAGAGAAGAACAGGGACCAGTTCCCAGCACCTGGCTCTTCCTGCCAGGATTGATGATATTGACCCCACTGCCCTCTTGTCATGGTTCCTGAAAAAAACTCCTCTGATTAATGCACCACCTTAAACCCTACTAGATGATTTCAGAATCCAACCAGATGACACCTCTTAGATAAAGGGCTCTCTTAGAGATCGGCTATCGGGGCAATCGTTTTCTAGAAATAGCCTCTGCCCAGAATAGATGGAAGTCTTTCAAGCTGGCTATTTTCTAAGGTAGACCCTTTCTGAGGCCTTTGAAGTTACTTTGCAGCTGCAAATGGCTGCCCTATGGACAGAATAGGACTAGATGTCTAATAATTCCAGAGCAGGCCTGCACAGTTATCTCAAAGCACAGTGCCCCAAGTGAACATTTTCTTAGCATAAACATCCTATTCCTTAATATGTTATTACTTCCAGCAAACATAGATTTCTTAAGTTCTTTCAATTTGAGATAAAGTGCAACTTTTGTTTAGACTGCAAAATATTAACTGAAGAAAAGGGCCTTTAGAAATGAGCTTTAATGACAATTTTAGTATGTCTTTAAAAGGCAAGACTCAAGAATGCCCACGTGATCCTGTCTCAGCAGAATAAGTGGGTCTCAGCTGCCCGTGTCCATCACAGGCAGGGTGGTGGCTGATCAGAAGACTGTGTTCTCGACATGGGTGAGATGCTGGGAGCTTGGCCACTGCCCAGGCAGCACAGGGAAGCTCCGGAACCTGGGAGACCCCAGCAATGGGCTTTATTATGATCCCTTACTCCTCACTTATTCAGAGCAGTACTGATTCTACCAAGTGTGTTTAAACTGTACACCAGATCTGCCTAAAAACTCCCTGAGCCAAATACCTAAGGGAAATCCTTACAAGCTCACAAGAGACAGGGATAGCTCAGCCTGCCAATACTTAATGGTTTTCTGCCCTGGTGGGAAGAGAAACATACAAAAAACCTTTTCTCTTCCTGTGGGTATGACATTATTCTATATCTCCCCGCTCTTTGGATGGGAAGGCTGGAAATTGAATTACTGTACTTTGGGGGAAGGAGGATTTTGCTTGTGCAGCCACATTCTCAACAAAGTCTCAGCACAGTGTAAATGATTCTCAGCAAATGAGGTTGCTGCAACGTCCACAGAGACCCAAAGGATGCTGTTTGTGTCTCTCAGCACCTGGCTGAGCCCCGATGGTGTGCACGGCAAAGGGCTTGGTGAGTGCAAAAGACAAGGCCCTAACGAGCCTAAAACTCTTCATAGCATAGCATCAAATGCCAGATGTGGATTTCCAGAGGTAAGTGCCACAGGGACTCAGTGAACACCTACAAAGCGCCAGGCACTGGGCTGCTTGTGGGAGACAAGGGACAAGTGGCAGCATCCAGGGAAGGCATCCTAGACACGGTGGGAGCCAATACGTGGATTTTCCTAGAGAGAATGGTAAGGAGAGTGCAGGAGTAAAGCAACAGGCTGGCCAGAACCTGCTGCAGTGGGGGATGGGTGAGGAGCTGGGGCCTGGCAGAGTGAGATTGTGGAGGGTAGCCGAGTCTCCCAATCCCATCTGGCACCTGGATGGGAGAGTGTGGACTTTGTGTTTCCTGCACGGGCCACACCTCCTCCCACCCACTTCCTCTGTCAGACACACCCTGCCCACTCCTTTGCTGGGCTGGCCCCTGCCTGCCCTTCCAGAACAGCGAAGACGTGCTGTGTCACACTTCTGGGAAGCCCTGGCTGCCCCTGCTTTCCTCCGTCTCGGAGGTGCCCTGTTTGGATCTCCCCAAGCCCTTGGCATGTGCTGTAAAACCACCTTGGGTTTGCTGGTCATGGTCCCCTGCAGGCGATGAGCGCCTTCAGATCGTGCCCCGGGGCCCAGCACCATGCCCGGCATGGAGTTAGCTGAGTGTGGAGCCAGAGGGGAAGGGCAGAGCCCAGGACTTCTGAAGGCTGGGGCGGGGGCGGGGTGTACTCTGCTCCCTGACAGGGAACTACAAGATTTAGAGGGAAGCTTTGCTGGCGGAAGTGGCTCCTGGAGAAGAGTCCGTCATCTTTGGATTTATGTACCTGGGTTCCCTGAGCCCTGCCAAAATCTGCTGAAGCTCCCTGGCTACTGTGGAAATCAGATGCCTCTCAGGGCCTCAGTTTCCCCATGGAAAGAAACAAACAGTTTCTTAGAGATGGTCACAGAATTGCCGGTTTTTATTAAAATCTTTACTTTTGATCCTGCCATCCCACTCCTGGAAATCTGTCCCATAGAAATAAAAGTATATTCCGGGACATAACGGCACACAAAGGATGGTTATTGCAGCAAAACATTGGAAACAACGGAACGCCCATCCACAGGAAGACCAAGCCGTCTTCTCGTCTTCTGGCTGTGTCCTCACGTGGTCTTCTCTCTGCACATGCGCATCCCTGGTCTTTGTATGCGGCCAAATTTCCTCAGGACGCCAGTCAGATTGGATCTGGGCCCACCCTAAGGCCTCATTTTAACTTCACCCTTTAAAGGCCCTGTCACCAAGCACAGCCACATTCTGAGGTACTCGGGGTTAGGACTTCAACATAGGAATTTGCAGGGGACACAATTAATCCAGGCTGTGTGTGTATGTGTATGTGTGTGTGGATGTGTATGTGTGCATAGATGGGTATGTGTGTGCATGTGCATGTGTGTGCTCACATATGTATGTATATATGTAAGTATATGGGTGTGTATATATGTGTGTGTGTTGTGCGTGTTTGTATATGTATATATGTGTGTGGGGGGGTATGTATGTGTGTATATGTGCGTATGTATGTTTGTGTATGTGCATGTGCATGTGTGTATGTATGTAAAATATGTGTATGTATGTGTGCATATTTGTGTGCGTGGTGTATATATGTGGTTAGATATGTATGTGTGTATGTGTGTATATGTGTGTTTATATGTATGTATGTGTGTATGTGCACGTGTGTATGTGTGTATGTGTGTGCCCATGTGTGCGCATGTGTGTATATATGTGTGTTCATGTGCATGAGAGAAAGAGACTGTGTGTGTGTGTGTGTGTGTGTGTGTGTACTTTGACTCTGATCGGATCATGCTGTCCTTTCCCAGGCACAGCGTGCATCTGCTCTGACTTGGTCTGTACTTCTTTTTGAGAGAGACATGGTGACTTGCTCTTTAAAAAAATATTTTTATAGGGTTGTGTGTTTCCTGGGGTTTTCTAATTTCAGTCAAAAGCAACAATGACTGTGGTTTCATTTTAGGTTAGCCCAGTCCTGGTAAATGATGCCGGTTGGGTGGTGCTCTCTGATGGCAGGATATTTATGAAATAACACATAGCGTCTTCTTCCCCTTTGGGGTTAAGCAAAGTACAAATCTGACCACTCAGTGAGCTCTACTTTTCATATCCCTCCCTTGCCCCTATTATTTATTTGTCTTCACTCACTCTGTGACCTCTTCAAGTCCATTTCATCCTCTGCCCACACGTATTTTTCTTTTTTCTACACCCTTTGCTTTTACCTACAGCTGGGATTGTCTTCTCCCATAACGAAGTCCCACATAGCCAAGATGAGTGAACAATTCAACACAACCTAAATGAAGAAGATGTTTGCCATCTCTGTGCCTGATTTATATAGGAATAACATGTGTTGTCTTTGGAATGCCCACTGTGGGCTTGGTGTTGCAGCATCTCAATGCCCCATCTGGCCATGCCCACAGAAATATGGGAAGTGTTTCGCTGACTCTAGAACAGCCTCGAATAAACCTTCAAATCCTCTCTTTCTTTTTCTCAACTCACTCAAGATGACAGAAGGAAGCCACTGAGCAAAGCTCTCTGAAGCAGACCACATTGTAGCAGGTTTTGGCTGTGGTATTCCTCAAACCAACTGCCAGAAGTATGAACACACACGTTGGCAAGGACATAAAGCAGCAGGACTAATTGATTCTGAAAGCTTAGCCACCGTGGTGGGGCACGAAGAGCGCAGAGCTGGGTCTGGTCCCACGCCACTGTTCATTCACTGGGTGCCCTCATCGAGCCACCCACAACTCAACTGTCCAGCTTCTTACCTGTGTCCTGGGACAGCTGTGTTTTCACTGGATGACCAGGTGGGTCCTAGCTCATGCATGAAGTGCCAAGTCAGTGGCGGAGCCCTGGGCACATGGGAGGTGAGAGATGGCTTTCGCATTTCAGTGATGAGAGGGCTGGCTCGAAGCCAGAAGAGCTGGGTCACCCTCACTACTTTCCCCTGAATGTCACACTCATCACTGGGAAAATGGGGATATGAGAGGAAACCTCCCAGCTGCCCTTCCATGCTTGGACCATCCAGAGGATGTTCAGACAGCCACTCTGCCAGCATCCTCTACATGCTCTTCTTCCTTGTCCTGCTTCAAGGGTAGGCAGCCCATCCTTTCTAGGGACCGTGCTCTGGAGGGTGGGATCCTGGGAACCCAGCTCTATGAGGCTTGGATCCTGGCTTTTGGAGACCAGAGAGTTTCTTCGGGCCTCACTGAGCCCCCAGCCATCCCTGGGAGTCCTCCTCCTCCTGAAGCAGATGCTGAGGGGCCTTACGCTGGGCATGGGCAGCAGGTGCCTGGAGCCTCCCAGCCTTCACCCTGCATCCTGTCAGGGTGGCCAGGGCTCAGCAGCCACCACAAGGTGGAGTTAACGACTCAGTGTCCCTCAGGGGAGCAGGATCACTTCCCAGCTCCACTCCAGAGCTGGCTTTTGGATCCTGGCTTTTGGAGACCAGATCAATCTCCCTGTTGAGTGTGGTTGCCTCCCTCAGACCGCTCCAGGTAACAGGGTGGCAGGGAACCTTCTCACTACCTGGACCCGAGGTGCAATGTCGTCTTATCCTGTATTACCTGTAATGCTATCTTAATCCAGCAATCCTGGCTCTATGTACACATCCAAAGGAAATGAAATCAGTGTCTCATAGAGACATCTGTACCCTCATGATCATTGCTGCAATTTGCAGCTATTACTCACAATAATCAAGACATGGGATCAACCTAAAGCATCCATCAACAGATAAATATGTGAAGAATATGTGGTGTACACACACACACACACACAATGGAATACTATTCAGCTTTTAACAAGGAGATCCTGCCGTTTGTGACAACATGGATGAGCCTGGAGGACATTATGCCCAGTGAAATAAGCCACATACAGAAAGAAAAATACTGCATGATCTCACCTACATGTAGAATCCAAAAAAGTTTAACTCATAGGAGTAGAGAGTGGAATGGTTGTTATCAGGGGCTGAGGGAGGGGATTTGGGGACATGTTGGCCTCAGAGTACAAAATTTCAGTTAAGCAACATGAATAAGTTTTAAAGATCTTATTACAGCATGGAGAATATAGTTAAAGATACTGTACTGTGTACTTAAAATTTGCTAAAGATAGATCTTGTGTTATCACCAAAAAAAGGTAAGGTGTAATAAAAAAAAGTAAGGTGATTGATATGTTAATTAGCTTGATTTTAGTAATCATGTCACGATATATATGTGTCTCATCATGTTGTGCACTTTAAATATATACAACTTTTGTCATTTCTATCTTAATAGAGCTGTAAAAAATAAAAATATGAAGCAAGGGACAGTGTTCACCAGCTCATAATGGATAGAAAGTATACCTTATATTTATTTTTATGCTAGAGGTTTATTCAGTTATTCACTCATGCCTTTACTGAAAACTACCCTCTTCTAGGCATAGTGCTGGGAACTGAGCACACACCGATGAATATGTCACAGCCCCTGTCCTTGGAGACCTTCACCTCATGGTCTAGCAACAGGTGAACAAAAAAAAAAGCAATATGGGCATTCAGTAAATCCCTGACTGGTATGCAAACATGAGGCCAGTGCCCCCACTGGATACCCCTCCCTAGTAATGTAGAATAGTGACCTTTTCACCACACCCTGGCTAAAGCTTCTAGAAACACACACACACACACACACACACACATTTAGAGGTACAGACTGTGACTATGGAACAATTCAGTGTAACGGCCACATGAGGAACCGATGTTTGACCTTAATCCCTTGAGGCCAGGTCTCTGATAATCCATGAAACAAGCCTCCAAAGTCTTAAAATTTGTAAGTAGGAAGGGCTGAATGCTGGTTGTGACTGAAAAACACACTCTGAGTTCTCTGTTTTCATTGGGAAACACTGTGCCTGTATAGCTTTAAGCAGAACTTGTGTTCCTAAATTCTTAGGGATAAATCCACCACCATCTCGGGCTTCCTCCTGGCACTGCCTTCTTTAAGCCAGGTCAAAACCCACCTCTTCCAACAAGACTTCCTGATTAATCCTACCTTACACAACTCATTTCAGGGCCTCTTGGCACCCATGCAGTGACCAAGGCCAACCAACCATGAAAATAATCACTGTCTTCCCTAAACCCTTAAACCAATGGTTTATCTAACTAATATGTGCTCTCTTTTGGGATCATGCACAGTTTTGTTTGTTTTTTAGCCTGGTAGAAGTTACCTACATATGCTCTGTAGGCTGGTAAAATAATTTGAACAAAACTATTTCTAATAAAGCTCACCACCCAAAACTGTATTTGTAGAGGACTTTTTGTTTACAAAAATCTTATACCTACATTTTCTCAATAAATATTGCACTAACACTGTGATCTATAAATACGGCAACTTCCGTCTTACAGATGAGGAGAAAGATTACAGAGATTCCAACCCCGATGTTCTGGGGTATTCCCTTATTTTTACTTCTTCGTAACTTTCACAGATAATATATACAAGAATCACTGTATTTGCAATAATGTAGATGCTCCCTTCAAATGATTCTATGTGTTCCATTAATATACCTATCTAGCACTTAGCACTTACAGGTGAGACTAGTAGAGATTCTGTAAGTGAACGTGGAAGCCTGTCCCTATATCCTCACCCATACTTAGCCTATGGAGCTCCATGATGTCTGAGACCAGGTCTTCCCCATCCTTTGTAACTCTCAGAATCTTAGGCACACAATGAGTTCACTCTGTATTTGTTGGAGACGTTTATGAATGTTTTCTGTTTTTTGTTTTTTTTGAGACAGAGTCTCCCACTGTCACCCAGGCTGGAGTGCAGTGGCGCGATCTTGGCTCACCGCAAGCTCCGCCGGGTTCATGCCATTCTCCTGCCTTAGCCTGCCAAGTAGCTGGGACTACAGGCGCCCACCACCACGCCTGGCTAATTTTTTGTATTTTTTTTGGTAGAGATGGGGTTTCATCGTGTTAGCCAGGATGGTCTCGATCTCCTGACCTCGTGATCCGCCCACCTCGGCCTCCCAAAGTGCTGGGTTTACAGGCGTGAGCCACTGCACCCGGCCATGAATGTTTTTTATAAAGACGGAAATTTGGCCAGGTGCGGTGGCTCATGCCTGTAATCCCAGCACTTTGAGAGGCCAAGGTGGGCAGATCACAAGGTAAGGAGTTCAAGACCAGCTTGGCCAACATGGTGAAACCCCGTCTCTATTAAAAATTCAGAAAATTAGCTTGGCGTGGTGGCGGAAGCCTGTAATCCCAGCTACTCAGGAGGCTGAGGCAGGAAAATCGCTTGAACCCTGGAGGAGGAGGTTGCAGTGAGCTGAGATCGCACCATTGCACTCCAGCCTGGGCAACAAGAGTGAAACTCCGTCTCAAAAACATTAAAAGAAAAAGACAGAGATTCAGTCCCCCATCTTCTGCATAAATGATCCTCAGCCATCTGGGGGACTTAGCTGCAGTGGAGCCTGAGGGAGTCGAGCTGCATTTTTCATCCCAGGATGTTACTCTCATACGATTTTCAAGCCACAACAGAAGCAAAGATGAGGTGAGCAGGGACAGAGTTATTTCCGACTGGTTGCAGATGGGGAGAAAGGTCTATGGTATCTGTTGCTGATCTCTGGGCTCACATCAGACACTTTGCAAATCTGGCTCTCTCCAGGGGATTTGGGTAACAGCCCTGCCTTTCAGAGCAAATAACAGTATACACTCGCAGAGCTCGTTATAGCAGTTTTGGTGGGTTTAGGGACGCAAGTTCCCAGCCGGGACTATTCCTGTGGAGTTCCCTGAGTTACACCCTCCAGGCCACGCCCCCTGGCCAAACGTGAGTCTAGAGCAGAGAGTTTCCATGTAGAGGCTTCATCTGTTTGTATTGGCTCATTACAGACACTCCTTGAGATTTGACCAATGCAACATGTGGCCCCATGCTAGCGTGCTATGTGCTGAGACAACAGCTTAGAGCAACAGCTGGGGAACCTTCCCTTCTGCCTCTGTTCTGAAATAAAGCACGTCCATTTAAGACAAAGGGGGCTATGCTGAAATGACTTATGGGGAAAATTACAGGTCACAAAATGTAATGTGACTATAACATATTGGAATGTTGATGACTGCTCGCCATAAAGTGGTCACCAATGTTTCTTTCACCCCCCAACATTTAACATGACAACAGCTACATGTCACATTCTCTATTTCATTCCCTGAAAATGAAAGAATTAGGTTTGGTATGATTAAATTTCCACTCAATTCTAAAGAATTCTAAGATTTTATAGCAAAATATATCATATGATGAGGATATTATATTTTGGAAGTTTGGGTTTAGTGGTCTCTCCCCTTCCATCATTTCATAAGACTTCCTTGTATTTTTAAATGGAATCTTGAAACAAGATAACATACATTGTGGAGTGATCTATTGGTGAAAGAAAAAGCCGTATAAAATCAACTGAAAACTACAGGAAACTATTAAGGTGATGTGACAAAAAAATGTGTGGGCCTTAATATTTTTGCCCTCAACCAGCAAAGACGAATATAAATCATGAAAAAAACAAGTAACTTGAGAAAATCTTATTTTAAAATGCATAGGATACACACACATACACACACGACGTATGTTTACTGAGTTGCATAAATTGAAATATTAAAATAATTTAAATTGAAATAAAGTCAAAATGTTTCTGCATAGGAAGATTGGGAAGATTAAAATACTATGAAAATAGCAATACTCCCTAAATAATTGAGGTGTACCATTTAATCCCAAAGAAAATGTTTTTTTAAGTTAAAAAAGTTAACATAAAGTTTATGAAGAAAATAGAATAAATAAGAATAGTTGGCGAATAGGTATTATATTAATTTTTTCTACAGGAGATTTTTTCTATCAAATTTGGAAAGATATTTTAAAGTTTAAATAATTTCAATTAGCATTCTAGGGAAGTAAGATGAGCCAGAAAAATAAACAGAACAGAGCTGAGAACCCATCAACAAATCATAGTATACACCAAAAGGACATGTTTTATAAAAGTGGCTTCACAAATCAATGGGGATTTTTTTAAGTAATGGTCTGAGAGAGTTGTCTTTCCTTTTGGAAGAAATATTATTTTTTATCTCATGCCCTTAATAAATTCCATATGAATTAAATAATGATACATAGAAAATAATTCCATACAATGTTTTTGAAAACTTTATCTCATCTCAGTAAGGAGGATGCCGAAGTATAAAAGCAATGGAAGAAATAAAACAAAAATATCTGTCTATTTAAATATTGAGCATCTTTGTAGGTCAAAACTCCTTAGAATCAAAAAGCCAAAAATAAGCTAGGAAAAAAATCATTGGCACAAATTTTCAGCTTTCTAAAAGTACCAGCTTTGCCTTGTTCTCCATTCTGGCAAAGAACAGGCTGTTTCTGTGTTGATGCAGGTTTTCCTATTTCTGTTCCTCTTTCATGACCTCTTGTGCCCATGGGCTAGTGACATAGGAAGAGACCTGGTATGGAAATTCTACCAGTTACTTACAGCATTGTTGAATATCTATTTAAAATGTCTAAATATTTCCGTGCCTCAGGACCTCATCGTGCTAAGTATTTTTTTTTAGAAGTTTTATTACTTTATGTCAGGCCTCTGAGCCCAAGCTAAGCCATCATATCCCCTGTGACCTGCATGTACACATCCAGATGACCGGTTCCCGCCTTAACTGGTGACATTCCACCACAAAAGAAGTGAAAATGGCCTGTTCCTGCCTTAACGGATGACATTGTCTTGTGAAATTCCTTCTCCTGGCTCATCCTGGCTCAAAAGCTCCCCCACTGAGTACCTTGTGACCCCCACTCCTGCCCGCCAGAGGACAACCCCCCTTTTTCCTTTACCTACGCAAATCCTATAAAATGGCCCCACCCCTATTTCTCTTTGCTGACTCTCTTTTCGGACGCAGGCCGCCTGCACCCAGGTGAAATAAACAGCCATGTTGCTCACACAAAGCCTGTTTGGTGGTCTCTTCACATGGACGCACATGAAATTTGGTGCCGTGACTTGGATCGGGGGACCTCCCTTAGGAGATCAATCCCCTGTCCTCCTGCTCTTTGCTCCATGAGAAAGATCCACCTGTGACCTCAGGTCCTCAGACCGACCAGCCCAAGAAACATCTCACCAATTTCAAATCCAGTAAGCGGCCTCTTTTTACTCTCTTCTCCAACCTCCCTCACTATCCCTCAACCTCTTTCTCCTTTCAATCTTGGCACCACACTTCAATCTCTCCCTTCTTTTAATTTCAATTCCTTTCATTTTCTGGTAGAGACAAAGGAGACATGTTTTATCCGTGGACCCAAAACTCCGGCGCCGGTCATGGACTAGGGAAGGAAGCCTTCCCTTGGTATTTAATCATTGCAGGGACACCTCTCTGATTATTCACCCAGGTTTCAGAGGTGTCAGACCACGCAAGGACGCCTGCCTTGGTCCTTCACCCTTAGCGGCAAGTCCCGCTTTTCTGGGGGAGGGGCAAGTACCCCAACCCCTTCTCTCTGTGTCTCTACCCCTTCTTCGCCTTTCTGGGGGGCAAGAAACCCCCAACCCCTTCTCCTTCACCCTTAGCGGCAAGTCCCGCTTTTCTAGGGGAGGGGCAAGTACCCCAACCCCTTATATCTCTGTGCCCGGATCCCTTATTTCCGTGCCCCAACCTCTTTTATCTCTGCGCCCCGATCCCTTATTTCCATGCCCCAACCTCTTATATCTCTGTACCCCAATCCCTTATTTCCATGCCCTGACCTCGTATCTCTGTGCCCCAAACCCTTTCCCACTTTTCTGGAGGGTAAGAACCCCCAAACCCCTTCCCTCCATGTCTCTACTTTCTCTTTTCTCTGGGCTTGCCTCCTTCACTATGGGCAACCTTCCACCTTCCATTCCTCCTTCTTCTCCCTTAGCCTGTGTTCTTAAGAACTTAAAACCTCTTCAACTCTCACCTGACCTAAAATCTAAATGTCTTATTTTCTTCTGCAATGCTGCTTGACCCCAGTACAAACTTGACAGTAGTTCCAAATAGCCAGAAAACGGCATTTTCAATTTTTCCATCCTACAAGATCTAAATAATTCTTGTCATAAAATGAGCAAATGGTCTGAGGTGCCTGACGTCCAGGCATTCTTTTACACATCGGTCCCTCTCTAGTCTCTGTTCCCAATGCAACTCATCTCAAATCTTCCTTCTTTCCCTCCCACCTGTCCCCTCAGTCCCAACCCCAAGCATCACTGAGTCTTTCTAATCTTCCTTTTCTACAGACCCATCTGACCTCTCCCCTCCTCCCCAGGCTGCTCCTCGCCAGGCCAAGCTAGGTCCTAATTCTTCCTCAGCCTCCGCTCCTCCACCCTATAATCCTTTTATCACCTCCCCTCCTCACACCCGGTCCGGCTTACAGTTTCGTTCCATGACTAGCCCTCCCCCACCTGCCCAGCAATTTCCTCTTAAAAAGATGGCTGGAGCTAAAGGCATAGTCAAGGTTAATGTTCCTTTTTCTTTATCCCAAATCAGAAGTGTTTAGGCTCTTTTTCATCAAATATAAAAATCCAGCCCAGTTCATGGCTCATTCGGCAGCAACCCTGAGACACTTTACAGCCCTAGACCCTAAAAGGTCAAAAGGCCGTCTTATTCTCAAAATACATTTTATTACCCAATCTGCTCCCGACACTAAATAAAACTCCAAAAATTAAATTCCGGCCCTCAAACCCCACAACAGGATTTAATTAACCTCACCTTCAAGGTGTACAATAATAGAAAAAAGTTGCAATTCCTTGCCTCCACTGTGAGACAAACCCCACCCACATCTCCAGCACACAAGAACTTCCAAACGCCTGAACTGCACTGGCCAGGTGTTCCTCCAGAACCTCCTTCCCCAGGAGCTTGCTACAGGTGCCAGAAATCTGGCCACCAGGCCAAGGAATGCCTGCAGCCCCGGATTCCTCCTAAGCCGCTTCCCATCTGTGTGGGACCCCACTGGAAATTGGACTGTCCAACTTACCTGGCAGCCACTCCCAGAGCCCCTGGAACTCTGGCCCAATGCTCTCTGACTGCTTCCCAGATCTTCTTGGCTTAGCAGCTGAAGACTGATGCTGCCCGATCGCCTCGGAAGCCCCCTAGACCATCATAGATGCCGAGCTTCGGGTAACTCTCACAGTGGAGGGTAAGTCTGTCCCCTTCTTAATCAATACCGAGGCTACTCACTCCACATTACCTTATTTTCAAGGGCCTGTTTCCCTTGCCTCCATAACTGTTGTGGGTATTGACAGCCAGGCTTCTAAACCTCTTAAAACTCCCCAACTCTGGTGCCAACTTAGACAATACTCTTTTAAGCACTCCTTTTAGTTATCCCCACCTGCCCAGTTCCCTTATTAGGCCGAGACACTTTAACTAAATTATCTGCTTCCCTGACTATTCCTGGGTTACAGCTACATCTCATTGCTGCCCTTCTTTCCAATCCAAAGCCTCCTTTGCGTCCTCCTCTTGTATTCCCCCACCTTAACCCACAAGTATAAGATACCTCTACTCCCTCCTTGGTGACCAATCATGCACCCCTTACCATCTCATTAAAACCTAATCACACTTACCCCGATCAATGCCAATATCCCATCCCACAGCATGCTTTGAAAGGATTAAAGCCGGTTATCACTCGCCTGCTACAGCATGGCCTTTTAAAGCCTATAAACTCTCCTTACAATTCCCCCATTTTACCTGTCCTAAAACCAGACAAGCCTTACAAGTTAGTTCAGGATCTATGCCTTATCAACCAAATTGTTTTGCCTATCCACCCCATGGTGCCAAACCCATATACTCTCCTATCCTCAATACCTCCCTCTACTACCCATTATTCTGTTCTGGATCTCAAACATGCTTTCTTTACTATTCCTTTGCACCCATCATCCCAGCCTCTCTTCGCTTTCACTTGGACTGACCCTGACACCCATCAGGCTCAGCAAATTACCTGGGCTGTACTGCCACAAAGCTTCATAGACAGCCCCCATTACTTCAGTCAAGCCCAAATTTCTTCCTTATCTGTTACCTATCTCGGCATAATTCTCATAAAAACACACGTGCTCTCCCTGCTGATTGTGTCCGATTAATCTCCCAAACCTCAATCCCTTAAAAAACAACAACTCCTTTCCTTCCAAGGCATGGTTAATGTGGTCAGAATTCTTACACAAGAGCCAGGACCGCACCCTGTAGCCTTTCTGTCCAAACAACTTGACCTTACTGTTTTAGCCTAGCCATCATGTCTCCGTGCAGCGGCTGCTGCCGCCCTAATACTTTTAGAGGCCCTCAAAATCACAAACTATGCTCAACCCACTCTCTACATTTCTCATAACTTCCAAAATCTATTTTCTTCCTCATACCTGATGCATATACTTTCTGCTCCCCAGCTCCTTCAGCTGTACTCACTCTTTGTTAAGTCCCACAATTACCATTGTTCCTGGCCCGGACTTCAATCTGGCCTCCCACATTATTCCTGATACCACACCTGACCTCCATGACTGCATCTCTGATCCACCTGATATTCACCCCATTTCCCCATATTTTCTTCTTTCCTGTTCCTCACCCTGATCACGCTTGATTTATTGATGGCAGTTCCACCAGGCCTAATCGTCACACACCAGCAAAGGCAGGCTATGCTAGAGTACAAGCCACTAGCCCGCCTCTTAGAACTTCTCATTTCCTTTCTATTGTAGAAATCTATCCTCAAGGAAATAACTTCTCAGTGTTCCATCTGCTATTCTACTACTCCTCAGGGATTAATCAGGCCCCCTCCCTTCCCTACACATCAAGCTCGAGGATTTGCCCCCACCCAGGACTGGCAAATTAGCTTTACTCAACATGCCCTGAGTCAGATAACTAAAATACCTCTTAGTCTAGGTAGACACTTTCACTGGATAGGTACAGGCCTTTCCTACAGGGTCTGAGAATGCCACTGCAGTCATTTCCTCCCTTCTGTCAGACATAATTCCTCAGTTTAGCCTTCCCACCTCTATACAGTCTGATAACAGACCAGCCTTTATTAGTCAAATCAGCCAAGCAGTTTTTCAGGCTCTTAGTATTCAGTGAAACCTTTATATCCCTTATGGTCCTCCATCTTCAGGAAAAGTAGAACGGACTAAAGGTCTTTTAAAAACACACCTCACCAAGCTCAGCCATCAACTTAAAAAGGACTGGACAATACTTTTACCACTTTCCCTTCTCAGAAGTCAGACCTGTCCTCAGAATGCTACAGGGTACAGCGCATTTGAGCTCCTGTATAAACGCTCCTTTTTATTAGGCCCCAGTCTCATTCCAGACACTAGACTAACTTAGACTGTGCCCCAAAAAAACTTGTCATCCCTACTATCTTCTGTCTAGTCATACTCCTATTCACCATTCTCAACTACTCATACATGCCCTGCTCTTGTTTACACTGCCGGTTTACGCTGTTTCTCCAAGCAATCACAGCTGATATCTCCTGGTGCTATCCCCATACTGCCACTCTTAACTCTTGAAGTAAGTAAATAATCTTTGCTGACAGGACTACGCTGAATCTCCTTAGGCACTCTCTAATCAGATGTCCTGAGTCGTCCCAATTCTTAGACCTTTTATACCTGTTTTTCTCCTTCTCTTATTCCATTTAGTTTTTCAATTCATACAAAACTGTATCCAGGCCATCACCAATAATTCTAAATTACAAATGTTCCTTCTAACAACCCCACAATATCACCCCTTACCAGAAAATCTTCCTTCAGCTTAATCTCTCCCACTCTAAGTTCCCACGCCACCCCTAATCCCGCTCGAAGCAGCCCTGAGAAACATCGCCCATTATCTCTCCATACCATCCCCAAAAATTTTCGCTGTCCCAACACGTTACCACTATTTCATTTTATTTTTCTTATTAATATAAGAAGACAGGAATGTTAGGCCTCTGAACCCAAGTTAAGCCATCATATCCCCTGTGACCTGCACGTACACATCCAGATGGCTGGTTCCTGACTTAACTGATGACATTCCACCACAAAAGAAGTGAAAATGGCCTGTTCCTGCCTTAACTGATGACATTGTCTTGTGAAATTCCTTCTCCTGGCTCATCCTGGCTCAAAACTCCCCCACTGAGTACCTTGTGACCCCCACTCCTGCTCACCAGAGAACAACCCCCTTTTTTCCTTTACCTACCCAAATCCTGTAAAATGGCCCCACCCCTATTTCTGTTTGCTGACTCTCTTTTCGGACTCAGCCTGCCTGCACCCAGGTGAAATAAACAGCCATGTTGCTCACACAAAGCCTGTTTGGTGGTCTCTTCACACGGACACGCATGAAACTTTAGGCTTAGATTTTTAACACTGGAAAAGAAATGTGAGATGGTCCCTTAAGGAGAAGTCAGTCTGTAAAATTCTGAGGGAAGGAAAAGCTGGAATTTTAAGGAGTAAGCTTAACTAAATTCCAAGAGAAACCTTGATAGGAGCAAAGAAGAATCCCACTGAAAAGGAGATACACTCTTTTGATGGGAAAAGAGATCTGTGAATGCACATTTATGATAGGTAGATAAACAAGGGTAGGAATTCTCTAGCATCTTCAGTACCTGGCAGGTATGATTTACCTAACAAACAAAACCCATGAATTAGTCATCTGTTTAGTTCCAGTACAAAAACAAGGATCGATTTTACTTAGAGAAAATGTCCATTGTACATATGCAATGTAAAAGCATAGCAACGTGCATACATGTTTGTTAGAAGGAACCAAAAACTCATCCAATTACAACTTCTGCTTCTGATCAAGATGGAATAACAGAGACCAGACTTATCTTCCTGTCTGAAAAAATCATAAAAACCAAACAAAATATATCACAGTAGTTTTCAAGACACTGGACATTAGGCAGTAAAGGACAGTAATCCTGAGAAATGGGAAATAAACAAGATGAGCCCTATGATTACTCCAGCTTACTGCCATGAGAAAGTTTCCAGTCCATGGTGGAGGAAAAGAAAATTCAGGTGGCACCCAGTGAACTCCCTAGGTAAAGAGAACCCTGTAAGTAAATATAGCTGATACTCTGGGAGACCAAGCTGCCTAGAGTCTGCTGATTAAAGTGCCAGAGAGGAAGAGAGTTGCATGGAGAGAGGATTTCTGAGATTTGTGGAACATGCCCCTAAAGAATTTAGCAGAGTGTTGATAAGCACATGCATGTAAGGAAACTATGTGAGGCTGGGGAAGGAAGTGTCATGGAGGATTAGAGAAGAGTACCACGACCAGATAAAGAGCCTCTTCCCACCACTGAGAGAGAAAAGCATCAGGATTAATGTGTCATTAGATAGGGCACACAAAGTAGTCTTTTCTCAGTAATGTGGAATAGTTAGCTTGTGATGAAGCAGTGCTCTGTTCCAAGTAAAGATTCTTTAAAGCAAGACCCAAAAGGATCAAATTTTTCCAAGTAATTTGACTGCCTTCTAGAACAAAGCTCTATAATATCCATAGATATATCAAAATACTCAGCACCAAAGTAAAATTCACCACGCATGCAAAGAAACAGGAAAGTGTCTGCAACGAGGAGAAAACTCAACCAATCAAAACTGATCCAGAACTGATACAAATGTTTGAATTAGCAGATAAAGACATAAAACAGTTATTATAACTATATAATTGTATTCTAGTTGTTCAAGAAGTTAAGTAGATCCAAATGAAACTTCTAGAGAAAAAAACTATAAACTGTTAGATGAAAAATATACCAGATATGAATTAATAGCTACTTAGACATTACAGAAGAAAAGATCAGTTGACTGAAAATACAGCAATAGAAACTATTCAAAATTAATTTGAAGAAAAAAGAACTTTAAAAAAATGACAAAATCATCATCAAACTGTGGGACAACTTCAAATGGCCAAATACATGTATATTTTGCAACTGAGTCCCTAAAGAAGAGTGAAGAGGGGAACAACAGAAAAACTATTTTTAAAAAAAGATGAAATTTTTCCAAATTTGGTTTAAAAAAAGTATAAACTCACAGATCCAAGATGCATATCTAACCCTGAGCACAAGAAATATTTAAAAATCACACCAAAGCACTTCGTAATTAAATTGCACAAACCACTAATGAATCTGAAAAGGTGCCAAAAAACAAGACATAATAGATAATAGATACAAAGGAACAAAGAATAAGGATGACAGCAGATTTCTTTTTGGAAACAATGCAAGTGAGGAGGTCATGATGAAACACTTTTAAGTGCTAAAAGAAAGAAACTGTCAATAATAAATTCCATATTCAGTAAAATACCTTTCAAAAATGAAGGCAAAATAAAAGAAAAAATTCTAAATGCTCAGCAAGTTGAAAGAATTCATCGCCAGCAGAGCCACATTATAAGAAATGTTAAAAAGAAGCTCTTTCAGCATAAACTGAAACTAAATGGAAATATGGATTTATACCAGTGATTTTCAACCTTGGCACTGTTGACATTTGGTGCTGGATAATTTTTGTTGTGGGGACTATCTTGTGTACTATAGAATGTTTATCAGCATCACTGGCCTCTACCCTCTAAATGCCAGGGGTAACCTTCCTCAGTTATGACAGCAATAAAAACTGAAGGTATCCAGACATTGCCAAATGTCCCCTGAGGGGCAAAATTATACCCAGTTGAGAACTAGTGGTTTATATGAAGGAATGAAGCACATCAGAAATGGTATGATTTTGGCAAATATGTAATTTTTTTCTATTTTTAAAATCTTTTTAAACATAATTGACATTTTAAGGGCAAAAATAATTTCTTTTTAACAACAAAGTCTTCATTTTTAAGACATTTTTTAAAAGTAAGTCACTATGGATTTTATAGATTTCTGTGGTTTAAGTAAAATGTGTTTCAACATAGCATAAAACCTGAAGAAGAAAAATACAGAGTTCAACTATTATACATACTTGTACTATATGAAAGTCATATACCATTTGAAGTACGTAACTATCAGCCCTAAAGAAGCCACTAAAATAGCAAAAGCCTCTATCTAATAAGTCAACAAAGCAAATTAAATGAGGTATTAAAAAAATTAATTCAAAAGAAGAAAGAACATAAGGAAAAAGGAAAAAAAACAGGCAAAACAAATAGAAAACAAATATCAAAATGGTAGACTTTAATCTAACTATATAATTACATTAAATCTAATTAAATCTAAATAAAGCTAAATAAATCTAAATAAAAAATCTAATAGATCTAAATAAAGCTAATAAAGTAAAAAGGCAAACATTGTCAGAGTGTATAAATAAAGCAAAACTCATTTAAATGCCGTTTATAAGAAATGTACTTTAAATATAAAGAAACAAGCAGGTTAAAATGAAAAGGATGGAAAAAGATATGACATGCTAACACTAATCAAAAGAAATTTGAAGTGGATATTAATATCAAACAAAGACAAATATAGAGCAAATAATATTACACAGTTTAAAAAATTTACTTCACTAAGATAAGGGTTAATTCATCAAGTGGTACTACAATCATAAAAGTTTATGTACCTAACAACAGGACTTCAGAAACCATGAGGCAAAAACTTATATATGTGAAAGGAGAAACAAAGACACAAAGAAATCTTCAATTATAGTCAGATTTAAATGCCACTCTTTCAATAATTGATAAAACAAGTAGACAGAAACTAAAGGTTATAGAAGACATGAACAGCAATACCAACCAAATGACCTAATTGTGAATTTATTGAATTCTCCATCCAACAACAGCAGAATACGCATGCCTTTCAAGTGCATATATCATATTTACCAAGATAGTCATATTCTGGACCATAAAATAATTCTCAACAAATTTAAAATGCTTTAATTCATACAAAGTATGTTTTCTGACCATTAAATTATAAATCAATAACAGAAAAATCACTTAAAAATCTTCAAATAGCTGAAAAGTAAAGAACACAGTTCTAAATAACCCATGAATCTATGAAGAAAGCAAAGAGAAGTTAGAAAATATTTTGAATTTCATAAAAATGACAACATAAAACCCCAAATTATATGGAATAACACTAAATCTGTACCTAGAGGGAAACTGGGAGCACCAAATGGCTATAGTTAAAAGTAGAAAGGATCTCAAATCAATAATCTCAGATCTCACCTTTCAAAACTAGAAAAAAAGAGAAAGTTAGACCCAAAGTAAGCACAAAAAAGGGGAAAAAAAGAAAAATCAGAGTACAACTCAATGAAATAGAAAGCATTAAAAACAATCAATAAAACAAAAAAACTGTTTCTTAAAGATCAATAAAATTGATAAACAATCAATAAAACACAAAAACTGTTTCTTAAAGAAGATCAATAAAATTGATAAACCTGTAGCAAGAACGATCAGGAAAAAAAATTGAGAATGCACAAATTACCAATATCAGCAATGAGAGAAGTGATATCACAAGAGTCTACAGATAATAAAAAGATAAGAAGAAGATATGAACAACTTCCTGCCTATAAATTCAACAACTTAAATGAAATGGATAAATTTTCTAAAAGACACATGCAACCAAAACTCACTTAAGAAGAAACAGATAACCTGAATAACCTTGTATCTATTAAATTGAATTTGTAGTTAAAACCTCTTCAACAGGAAAATCCGAGGTTCACATGTCTTCATTTGATGAATTCTACCAATTATTTTAAAAAGAAATAATTTCAATTCTGCATAAACCTTTCCAGGAACTTGAAGAGGAAGGAGTACTTCCCAAACTATTCTAAGCGACTAACATTGCTTTAACACCAAAATCATACAATGATATTACAAGAAAAGAAAACTATAGACCAATGTTCCTTTTGAAAATAGATGCAAAAATTCTAAACAAAATATTAATAACTAAGTCAAAAAAATTTTCAAACAGAAAATACATCACAACCAAGTGGGATTTCTTCAAGGAGTGCATGGTTGATTTAATATTTAAAAATTAATCAATAAAATTTATCATGTTAACAAATTAAAATTGAAACACCATATGATAATCTTGATAGATGCAGAAAATCATTCAACAAAATCCAACATCTGTGATTTAAAAAAAAACTCTCAGCAAACTAAGATTAGAACTTCCTCAATCTGATAATAAGGATCTATGAGTAACCTATGGTTATCATTATAATTAATCGTGAAAAACTAATTGTTTTCCCTTAAGATTGGTAACAGAACAAGACGTTCACTCTCTGCACTTCTATTTAAAATTGTACTGGAGGATATACAGCTCACTCAGGCGAGAAAAAGAAAAAATATCTAGACTGGAAAGGGAAAACTAATTTTTCTTTATTTTCAGACGACTTAATTATCTACTTAGAATTATCTGATGGCATCTGACATCAACAACAGCAACAGAAACTACTAAAACTAATAATTTATTATGGTTGTAGGATACAGAATAAATATGCAAAAATTGTTTATTTATATACTGGCAACAGTTGGCAATTGAAATTAAATAGCACCAAAAATAATAAATTCTTAGTGGAAAATATTTACAAAAGATATCCAAGGCCTCTACATTGAATACCTACAGAAGATGAACAAGAAAAATTAAGAAGACCTAATAAACAGGAAGATATGTCATACAGAAGACTCAGTGTTGTTAAAATGTTAACTCACTAAATTGTTCTATAGATTCTACACAATCTATGTCAAAATTCCAGAAGTCTTTTTTTCTAGAATTTAATTCTACAAGCCAATTCTAAAATTCATATAGAAATGCAAAGGACCTGGCCAGGCACGGTGGCTCATGCCTGTAATCACAGCACTTTGGGAGGCCAAGGTAGGTGGATCACAAGGTCAGGAGATCGAGACCATCCTGGCTAACACAGTGAAACCCTGTCTCTACTAAAAATACAAAAAATTAGCTGGGCGTGGTGGTGGGCGTCTGTAGTCCCAGCTACTTGTGAGGCTGAGGCAGGAGAATGGCGTGAACCCGGAAGGCGGAGCTTGCAGTGAGCCTAGATCATGCCACTGCACTCTAGCCTGGGCAACAGGATGAGACTCTGTCTCAAAAAAAAAAAAAAAAGAAAGAAAGAAAGAAAGAAATGCAAAGGAGCTAAAATAGACAAAACAACTTTGTTGGAGTGCCATCACAGCTTGGTTTCAAGAATTATTGTAAAGCTACAGTAATCAAATCAGTATGGTGTTAGTATAAAGATAGCCAAATAGATCAACGCAAGAAAACAGAGTCCCGAAATAGATCCATATATATGGACAAATAATTTGGACAAAAGTGCAAAGGCATTTCAGTGGAGAAAGCATAGCCTTTTCAACAAATACTGCTAAAAAACAGGATATACTCATATGCCAAAAAGTTAACTTTATACTTACCTCACATCAGATATAAAAATTAGCACAAAGTGAGTCATAAATTTAATGCATGTACATCATAGAGAATATAAATATATACGTGACCAAAACTGAATACTATAAAACTTATAGTAGAAATCATAAGAGAAATCTTTACAATCTTGGGATACAATCTTGCATCCAGAATATACGTAGAACTTTCAAAACTCAACAGTAAAAAATGAACAATAAAAGATGGACAAAAGGTTTGAACACATACTTTATGAAAGAAGATATACGGATGGCAAGTAAACAAAAAGATGTACAAGATTAAATTGTATATTGTAATCATGTGTAATTTAATACATGGCAATTATACCTTAAAAAGTTGTTCATCATCAGAGAAATGCAAATAAAAAGCACAGTGAGAGAATACTACATAGCCACTTGAATGACTAAAATTAAAGAGACCAACCATACCAAGTGTTGGCAAGGATGTGGAGGAATAGGAACTCTCATTCGCTATTGGCAGGAGTGCAAAATGTTATGACCATTTTTAAAAACAGTTTGGCAGTTTCTTTAAAAGCTAAACATGTACCCATCATATGACTCAACCATTTTCACTCCCAAGTATTTACACAAAGAAATGAAAGCAGATGCCCATGCAAAGACTTGTACACTAATGTTTATAGCAGCTTGACTAGTAATAGCTCCAAACTGGAACTAACCCAAATGCCTATCAACAGATGAGTGGATAAATGTGGAATGCTACTGAGCAGTAAAAAGAAATGGATTCTGATGCACACAATGACATCGATGATTCTCAAAATAACCATGCTGAGCAAATGAAGCTAGGGGAAAAGTACGTAATGCATGATTTCATCTACTTACAACTCTAGAAAATGCAAGCGAATCTATAGTGACAGAGAACAAATCAATAGTTGTGTAGAAAAGGGTAGGGGGCAAGAGGAAGGAATTACAAAGGGCATGGGGAAATTGGAGGAGATAATGGGCATATTCATTATATTTCATGTGGTAATGATGCATACACATCAATGTTTACCAAACTTTACACTTAAATGGTATGCAGTTTATTGTACACCAGTTATACCTCAAAAATCCTTGTTGTTGTTTTTTTAAAAAGCCTATGATACTAAGTTTAATAACCTACCTCAATGGTTATAGGGCTTTTGAAGAGTCGGGCAGTGACTGTGTTGAGGGTTGGGTTATCTCTACATTAGAGGCCAGTCATTTCAAAGTAAGCCAGTGTTGACACCACAATACAGAATGTGGGTACTGCTGTGGAGAAGACGCCCTCATGAAGTCACTTAACTTTTCCCGAGTGCCTACGGAGGGCTAGACACTCCTCTGGACAACGAGGTCACAGCAGTGAACAAAAGAGACCCAAATTCCTGCCCTCAGGAAGCTACGTTCTTACGCGGGAGATTGAAAATAAACAGAGTAACTGCCTAAGATATGCTTTCAAGAGCGAAATGTTAGCAAGGAACACTAAAGCCAGGAATGTGTGTCTGTATTACGTGTTGGGGCAAGAGGATGCTGGAACTTCAGATAAAATGCTTAGGAAGGCCAGAATATGGAGGAAGTGAGGGATTGGGTTGTGAAGATACTGGGAACAAAGTGTTCTGGCAGAGGAAACAGCAAGTGCCCACGGAGGTGGAGCAGGGTGTGCTGGACGACAGGAAAGAGGCGGGGGAGGGGTGAGGAACGGGGAAGGGGGAAGGGGAAGCGAGGGCAGGATGCCTGTGCAGGGAGAGGCCAGGAAGGGGCTCTAGATCGTGCAGGGCTTATTCCTGAGTGAGGAGGAGAACCACAGAGGAGGAATGGGGTTCTTAGGCTTCTGGGTGGGAAATAGATTTTAAAAGCTCAAGGGTGATACAAGGAGATCAGAGAAGGGTCTCTTGCATTCACCCAGCTGAGAGGCCATGGTCGCTTGGACCAGGGGGTTGGCAGGGGAGGTAGGAATGGCATCCAGATTTCCATATTTGGTGGAGGTGGAGCTGCCAGACTGCATATGTGTATGAGAGAAATACGAGTTAAGACTGATATGGAAGTTTTTGGCCCAAGCAACTGGAAGATGGAATTGCTCTTAACTGAGAGTTCAGGTGTAACCGCATGCAAGCTTGCTTCAAAACTCCTTTCAAAAAGGGGTGTAAGAGCCACAAATGAAATCCAGAGTTTTCGACTTGCTGTCGAATGCCCTTTCTTCCCTACCACGCTCCACACCACTGCATGAGAAAGGACAGGAGGTAGGGCTTGCCTTCATTGGGTGACAGTTTTACTGGGCAAACCAACCTATCACAAACACCATCCTGGGAGCAGTCCAGAAGATGTAGTCATTCAGAAGAAAGATCAGAACTCTGAGGCCTCCAGGCATCCTGACCAGGCAATATTTCTTTAATTCATCGGCTTGATTTTGTTGCCACCCGGGCCCTCAGTTGGACACTGGGTATTTCTCGGTTTTGCACAAAAATCTGGGCTTAGTTTAAAAAAAAGAAAAAGGCTGTTGACAGAGATATGTCAAGCCTAAGAAAAACCCAGTTCATTTGCTACCGGATTAGCCGTCTGCTTGAAAACAGGTAGCAGCCAAAAAGTTTAGGAAGAAAATGTTTGACAGAAAAAAAAAAAAAAGTAAAATTGAACTATTTCCTGGTAATTCACAGAAAGGAAGGTGAGAGTGTGGTTTTCGCTGAAGCCAAAATGGACTCAGTTTGTGGGGTTAAAAAAAAAAAGAAAAAAGAAAAAACCTGTTTTGAGGAGTGTATTTTGAGAAGTTCTGCCTTAGTTGATTTAATATTCATTCGCACTGGCTTCTGCCACCCCTGTAAATGCGGTAAGCAGAGCTGCTGAGGAAAACGAGCGGCACCATCTGTGGGTCCTGACTTCAGCCGCGGAGAGAGGGAGCTGTGAAGATGCCAGCAGCTGCCTGTCTGGAGGAAGACGCGAGAACATTGCTTCCGAGACAGGGAGCCAGACAGGGACGAGAAGCTGTGGATTCTCGGTTAGGCAAACTGCTGAACAGTGCTCTCGCTGAGGTCAGGGGGAGAAGATGGCAGGGGTGAATCCTTGACGATCACGGAGTAAGGACGAGAATGCAGTTTGCTTCCCACAGGCCCCTCCCTCAACATGCCAAGATTCCTACCTGGGGCATCAAGACTGCAGGTGGGGCCAAGAAAAGACATGGACACTCAAAGTCAAGGTGAATTGGGTGCATGTGTATGTGTGTGCGAACGGGTGGGTGAGTTATGTGCTGGCAAAGGCAGGTGTGTCCACATGCGCGAGCAGACACTGAGACTGCAGCCCACACACCCAGAGGAACAAGCAGGACATCTTAGGTTAGGAATGTGCCTGCAGCTGGCAGTGCCCAGGAGAGGGACTTTTCTAACTGTGTTGTCCAGTGCCTTAGTCGCTAACCACATGTGGCTGCATAAACTTTAAACCAGTTAGAATGACATAAAACTGCAAATGCAGTTTCCCACTTGCACTAGCCCCATTCTAAGTCTCCATAGCCACCTGTGCCCACTCGCCACTGCTCCAGGAGTACAGATTCCAGACATTTCAGCCACTGCAGAACTGTCTCTTGGGTGGTGTCTGCAGGTGCCTGCTGCAGCTCTGCCAGGCAAAGTAGAGTGGCTGCTTGGCTGCCTATGGATTTAGATGATCCTGCCAACATCTGATCAGTTGCTCTCAGCACCTGAGCTTCATCATTAGGATGGATCTGGGGCATGCAGGGAGAATCCCAGACTGTCAGAGAGGTGGCCTGGCCTGGGGTGACCAGTCAGGCCTCTTGTCCTTATGGTCACATTCTCAGAATTGGGGCCAGGGATCCTGCTGGTGAGTGTCCTGAAAACACTTCATTTTACCCAAGGGTTTGCATTTTCTAAATCCTGGTTTACAGTGAACCTTTTATAACAAAATATCTTTCAGGTTTCTACACTACTGACTTAATTATGAGTTTTTGGTTTTGTCTTAATATAAAAGACATGTAAAAATGGGAAGGCTCTGTGGTGTGGAAGAGGGGTGAGGAAATCTGTGGTGTGATTCTGAATGGGTTGCTCGGGCTGTTTGGGATTCAGTTCCTTCAGCTGTAAGATAAAAACAGTAGGATGACAGTTTGGGGAAGCTACAACTGAGTCTGAGCTAACCATAGTTCTGGAAGCTAGTGAGTGACTTGAAATGTTAGCCAGATTCTGAGGAGAAAGTGCTGGGATGAGCTTGGACATGCAAATCAAAGCTGTGGGTGATCTCACAGCCCTATGGAGTTGGAGAGAAATGAGACCCTCCCAACACTGAGCCACTGACCCCAACCCAGTGTCACAGCCACAAATGAAATCCAAAGTTTTTGACTTGCTGTCGAACGCCCTTTCTTCCCCACCACGCTCCACACCACTGCATGAGAAAGGACAGGAGGTAGGGCTTGCCTCCACTGGGCGACAGTTTTACTGGGCAAACCAACTTATCACAAACACCATCCTGGGAGCAGTTCAGAAGATGTAGTAACTCAGAAGAAAGATCAGAACTCTGAGGCCTCCAGGCATCCTGACCAGGCCATATTTCTTTAATTCATCAGCTTGATTTTGTTGCCACCCGGGCCCTCAGCTGGACGCTGGGTATTTCTCGGTTTCGCACAAAGCCAGCAGCAAATTCATCATCTGGCTGCAATGAGGAGACTCACAACATGGAAACACAGTCCTTCTTCCCGGCTGGCAGGCAGCTGCGGGGTTTGCTTTTGCTGGTCGTAGCGTAAGCGGGTGAGGGTGTTGAGCCTCCTGATGGCGTCAGCAGCGTGCCTGAGTTATCCCCAGGAGCTGCAGGTCATTGCAACACAGGGCTAGAAGAAGCACCTGCTGCGGCCGTTGGAAGGATTTGTCCCGTCAGACACTCGGCAGCCCTGAGGGAGAATCAAGTTGTGAATTTCGTCACTGGCATACTGACATAAATTGAGCTTAGCTTGAATGTCACTGATCACTCGCTGGCTCGGGTGGTCTTTCCCAACCACAAGCCGCTGGTCTCAGTGACAACAGCTCTGCAAAGTGTCAGAATCCAACACAGGCCTGCCAAATGACCCTGGGCAACCTGGAGGTGAGGGAGCCTCTTGCCAACCAGAGAGGGCTGCGCCCGCAACGGTACGCTCCCCGAAGAAGAACATTCTGGAGCCTGGTCTCATTCACCCTCTGTTTTCCCTTACACTTGTTTGTCAACATGATGAATGAGAGGCAAATGGCAGGACCACAGTGTTTCAAAAATGTGAATTGATTTTTTTCCCTAGGCCTTTGGGTTCACTGACCAGAAGAAAAAACCTCAAATAAAACCGGGTGTTTTCATGAAGTGAACTTTAACTTTGCATATATTACACCCGATTATCCAATGAACAAAAGCTATGTACGGATTTATTTACTGTTTGGCAAGCATGCATGCAGTCACTCAATCATTAGTACCATGGAAAATGATCAAGTATAAAATAATCCTCTGGGACTGGCTCAAAGGATTTGTTTTTTCACAAGCAGACGGAAAGAGAAACAGACACTTGTTGAAAAAGAGTGTGAGTTTGGAAGGAACATTTTGGTCACTCAGAATCAACTCAATGACTGTCATTGAAATTTCACAAAAATCCTGGTTCTTAAGTGAATTGGAGACAACTCAAACAGGACAAGCTTGCCAAATTTGAGTATTTCAATAGAAGCTACATTATTCTGAGGGTCTGAGCCCAGGGCTCTGATGCAAATGGGATTGAGAGGCTAATATTAGCCAGCAGGTTTTGTTGCAGTTCATTTTTGTGAGAAGAGCCTTATAAAGTCAGCAACCCAGAGGTGCTGGTCCAAATTCTGATTCTCACTGGCTGTCTAAGCCATATCACCCTCCCTTTCTGAGCCTTCATTTCTTAGCTCTAGAATAAAGAATCTGGACCAGGCGTTCTCATCTGGGGACATGCAGCATGTCATGACTATGGGCACCTAGTCAATAAAGACCAGAGACGCTGCTCAACATCCTACAATACACAGAAAAACCCCTCAACAACAAAGAATTATCTGACCCAAAATTTCAATTGTACTGAGGGTAAGAAACCCTGTTTTCACCTAGATTTACCTCATTTTCAACAAGGTAACATCCAGCTTAAACATCTTATGGTCCTACAGATAGTTCAGTATATTTCTTTCATTCCAGATCCTTTATCCTCAATATAAAAAAAAACAATTTTTATTTCATTTTGTTATTTTATTTTATTTTTTGGGACAGGGTCTCACTCTGTCACCCAGGCTGGAGTGCAATGGTGCAGTCAAGAGCTCACTGCAGCCTCGACCTCCTGGGGTCAAGCAATCCTCCCACCTCAGCCTCCCAAATAGTTGGGACTACAGATGTGAGTCACCATGCCCAGCTAATTTTTTTTTATTTTTGTAAAGACAGGGTCTCACTGTGTTGCCCAGGCATGACCTGCCATGCCCAGCCTAATTTTTATACCTTACCAAAAATATGTGGATGGCACATAACATGGATATTTCTTTATCCATGTTAATGTATACAGAAAAACAAAAACAACAGAATAAAGCTTCCTAAGACATTGGGAACAAACTTCTCATAAATATTTACAATGGCAGTTGGCAATGATTCAAAGTCTTCCAGGTTATAACCTATATCCAAGCAGTAAAATTAACCTTTTGGGAAGTGACCTTAATAACTGTTTGCATGATGTTTGCTGAATAAATGATTCATCAGATGATACCTTTGGTGCCGAAAGGAAACACGCAAGTCACGAAAGCCTCATACTATGAGAAGTAGGGAGGCAAGGATGTCCGTGTACGACTGTGGGTTTAGGGCCTACACACAGATTTAAAAAGAAAATAAAGCCAAAATGCTTTCCCCACAAAAATGCCCTTTCTCATTCATTTGTTCCAATAAGATCTTTGCTTAGAAGAACATGCATTTTCTTTGCTGACCTCCCCTTACTTCCCCTTAAGCCTGAGTCAGATGCCCCCCCTGGACTTCCATAAAACCTGCAGTACTTGTACCATCACACATCTTGCATTTTATTATAAATGTTGGTTCATTTGCTGTCTGGTCCTTTGGACTATAAATTTCTTGAGGGAAAAGCCCATGCCTTGTTTATTTCTGTATCCTCAGTGCCTAGCCCCAGTGGGCATACAGTAGGTGCATTACAAATACTCATTGACACTGGTTAACATGTGAGACTGAGCAGACCTGGCTGCTCCTCCCACAGATAAATGCTGAATAGAACCATTGTGGGAAAGAGAGCTCAAAAGCAAGAAAGGTGCTAGAGTCATAGAGTCATAGAGTCATAAAGTCATAGAAGGAAACTGAAATCAGAGAGGTGGCTCTTGAGTTTCAACATGATTTGAGTCCATGGGGTGCAGTGAATCCCTTGGCACTGGAGTTTAGTACTCAAGGAGAAACAGAATTTGTGGCCTCAAGCCTGTATGTGATGAGAAGCTGAAACTGACTTCCCCAAATAAAGCTAAGAGTTGGGGGTAACTCACTCCCAGGAACAGAAAAATAAGGGAATGTGAAAAATATTTTAAGTGGGTCTGTTTTCAAAGTTTGAACATATAAAGGAAGTATTTAATGTGTAATATAAGAATGCAAAATCACATTTAAAAAGAACAAGGAGATTGACTGAAAAAACACCATAAGTACAAATTCAGCCATTAAAATAAAATGCCACAGACAAGTTAGACTGTAAGCCAAACGCAACAGAAGGGAAAACTAGTGAGCCGAAACTACATCTGAGAACACAAAATAGACTTTGACCCAGAGAACTAAAGAGATAGAAAATATAGACAAAAAGTGAAAAGAAATGGAGAAAAGAATGAAAAGCTCCAACTTATTTATGGAAAGATTCCAGTTGAGAGAAAGTTGAGAGAATGGAGCAGAAACAATATTTGAAGGGAAAATAGGTAAAGAATTTTCCATAAGAAGGCTTACCAGACTTCTCTCTTACATTGATGGAGCTGTGTTTCTCTAATTAACCAGGTAGGTTTCATTGCTGACTGCATTACTATGATCTCAGAGACCTAACATCTAGGAGAGTCTAGGGGAGAGCTGCTTCCATGTGATTCTGCTCTGAGCTCTGTACTTTTTCTGATGAGACCGGAAGGCCACACCCCCAAGCATGGTATCATAGGCTATCATTCTTTGGGACTGCTTCCACTATCACAGTGTTAGATCTCTAGATGGAACTCTCCTCCCCATCTAATGCTGGTTTGGTTTCTTTGTATTGAGTAACTAAAGCTTATTGGTCACTTACCAGATGACTAGCTTGGGAGAGACTGAATATACACATGGACAATGGCCAGACCACGTAAAAAGTTAGAACTCTACAATCAACCCCAACTGGAGAGAGTGAACTAAGTGCCCTAACCAACTACAGAGGATGGATACACCACCTCTGGATAGCCCACTTCGTTCCAGCTTCCCCGGCCAGCAGCCTCCAGTCAGCACACACCTGACACCTTCCCTTTTCTGCTATGAAGCTTCCCCACTCCTCTGCCTGCCTATGAATCTCTGCCAGAACACACATGATGGCAGTCACAGAGCAAGTTATAGCCCATCTGGGACAAAGTACAGATTCTTTTCTGGGTCAGGACTTGCTCCATTATACAGCAAGATGCTTACAGAACCCCTTTCAGCCCCAAAGCTGCCTACGGACTTTTATATCCCTAATTTAGGGACTAGAGAATCATTTGTATAACTTTAAAATCCAGTGGAATTTGGCTTTATTGTCCCCAATTTATAATGAGTTACTATTCCTATACCTCATTTGATTTTTTTGTCAAATAGCCTTCCATACTATGTAAATAAGTATGACAAGGTTCCCACTATGGGCACCAAATTATTTTAGGGCTTTCAAAAATGTCAGCACATCCTATCTTTTTATTTTTCTTATTCTCAAGCTTTTTGTGATTCCATTCAACATTTCCTACTAAGACATGCCACTACTCCTGAAAATTATGGTGGTTTTGTAATTCACAAAATCGCTTCAAAAGAGTATGGAGTGTGTATGTATGTGGGAATGGCCCTCACTCCACACTGCATTGGAAGGTCTTTCCTTAAAACAGAATTCAAACTTCTCATCAGGATAGGTTTGGGAAAAAGGGAAGAAGGTGGATGGGAGTGAGGTGAACAATGATGAATGAGGAAGGCTGAGGCCAGCAGAGCGGGGCAGAGCGGGGCAGAGCAGGCCTGCGCACTGCTGGAAGACCAAAGTCAGAGCAAGGCCCAGGAAATCTCTGATGCATACGTCATCCGCATCAGTCTAGGACCAATCCGTCACCACGCTTGTTTATCCCTCATCTCTCCCTTCCCGTTCCTTAATGAGGGGAGAGGCAACAAAAGGAAGGAGGGGAGCGATCCAAGGAGCGGGTGTTTGGTTGGGCTCTGTCTTAATCCGTTTGAGCTGCTGTAACAAAATACCTTAAACTGACCAATTCATAAACAACAGAAATGTATTGCTCGCAGTTCAGAAGGCTCAAAAGTCCAAGGTCAAGATGCCAGCAGATTAAGGGTCTTGTGAGGTTTCATAGATGGTGTCCTGTTGCTGCCTTCTCACATGGCAGCAAGGGCGAGGAAGCTCACTCAAGTCTCTTTATAAGGGCGCTAATCCCATTCACGAGGGTGGGGTCCTTGTGACTTAATCACTTCCCAGAGGCCCCACCTCTTAATACTATCACATTGGGCATCAGTTTCCAACATATGAATTTGGCAAGGGACACCAAAATTCAGACTATAGCATGCTTTGTCCCTAGGAATACAGGAGTGAGACTATGAGGGCCTGGAGATTTCAGTGAGAAGCCGATCAGCAAAGATGCTCCCCACCTTGCCGTGAAGCACATCACAGAATTACTACTAGATTCTGGAACCCCCTGCCATAGTTGTGTTGGCTTCTAGGGCTGTGGTGACAAAGGACCGCAAACTGGGTGGCTGAAACCAACAGAAATTTATTCTCCCATGGTTCTAGAGGCCAGAAGTCTGGTACCAAGGTGTCAGCAGGGCCATGCCGCCTCTGAAATCTGTAAGGGAGAACGCTTCCTTGACTCTCCCAGCTCCTGGGGTGGACGTGGATCCCTGGTGTTCCCTAGCTCACAGCTGCAGCGCTCCAGCCTCTGCCTGCATCTCCACAGCCATGTGCATATGTCTCTTCTCTTCTTGTAAGGACACCAGGCACATCGGACCAGTGGCCCACCTACCCCAGCAGGACCTCAAGTAATTACATCTGTAACAGCCCTGTCTCCAAACAGGGTCACCTCTGAAGTGCTGGGGGTTAGGACTTCAACATATATTTTGGGGGAACCCAACAGTAACCTTCTGTCCTTTTTTTCCATGGTGATTGTGCTTAAAAGCCTTAAAAAGAAAATCCTGTGTAGAAGGAAGGACCCAGGGAGATGAAGTCCTTTGTGTCCATCAGGCTTGAAAGAAGAGAATCCTAGGTTCTCCCAGAAGAGGCTCTGTTACGTGGCAGGAAAACACAAGCAAACTGATTTCCCCTCCTATGCTCTCAGCACAGCACAGAACACTTCTGTGACCAGATGTCCGGGTTTTTCCCCACACATCAATTCTGACAGTATCTACTGGGAGTTGCCATCCACAAGTTAAGGGCCCAGTCCCACAAAACTGCCTGTATGATGCCAATTGCAAGGCTGGACCTCCAGAACTTCCAATGAATCAGCTATAAATCAGGAGTTCCCATGACTTCCGCCTCAGGTTTGATTCATTTGCTAAAGCATCTCATGGAACTCCGGGGAACAGTTTACTTACATTTACCAGTTTACTACTAATATCAAGGATATTGTAAAGGATACAGATGAGCACCAGATGGAGAGATGCACAGGGTAGAGCATGAGGATGGGGCACAGAGGGAACCTTCCCTCCCTCCAGGCACTCCCCCATGTCCAACAACCCAGAAGCTCTCCACACCCTGCAGTTCAGGGATTTTTATGGCAGCTTCATCACATACGTGTCATTGATTATTAACTCCATTTCCAGCCCCTCTTCTCTTCCCAGAGGAGATGGCTTGGTCTTTCTGGTGACCAGCCCCCATGCAGGAGTCCACCAGGAAAAAAAGACGCTCCTGCCACCCAGGAAATGCCAGGGGTTAGGAGTTTTGTGTCAGGAACCAGAGTCAAAGACCAAACATCAGAATAAAAGATGCACCTAGCACCCCTATTGCCCAGGAAATTACAAGGGTTTTTGGGAGGTCTGTGCCAGGAACTCGGGGCAGAGACCAATAGATATTTCTTACTATAGTACAGTATCACAGTCCGCCCCCTGTCTCTGGCCACCAATCTCTTACAGCAAAATGATATACAACTCAAAAGATACTGTCACATGACTAGAATCCCACTCATTCATTAATAGTTAGTCCAGTCCATCATCATATCTTATGGAAATGTCTCCCAGGGTGGGGCTACTCAGATTTGCAGGCTTCCACCCTGTCCTGTAGGGCTTCAAAAGCAGGAGTGGCCTCGGCAAACACATAGCTTTACCCTTCTGGGCATCTGGGATAATTGAGCTAAGAGGCAATGATATCTCTTGCTCTGGAGCATTTTCAGTGTTAATATAATATGAGACTTCCCTCATTACAGGAGCGTTTTATTCACTCCTTTACCCTCAGCTATGATTTCTCCTTCTCTTTGTTTAGACCCAAACGTTTCCACCCTTGGAAGGGACACTCAGATCAGACACTGTGCTGGTCTAGATTGCTGGGAGCATTACTGGTCTAGCAGGTGCCCCTCCCTGGGTCCACTCCGTTCAGACAGGGTACAAAGCCGTGGGCTATACTTACCACCAAACAAGATAGCTTCATTCTGTGTCAACCCCAGTTTGCCAGATGGGGTGAAGGCACAACCCATCCCCATCAGGCCCTTGGGAATTCTGACACAAGTTTTAAAAACATAGTGACAATTTCCTGCTTAGGAATCATCCCTGCTGTCAGCATTTATAATTGCAGCCCTGGGCCTATGACCCCTGCATCAGGTAGGGGAAAAAAAGTTAACGTGATGTGGAGAGGGAAGGAAAAAAAATTGCAGTCATTATGCCTGGGTACTTCTCCCTTGGCAAGAACTGCATAGTCATACCAGCATCCTCCCACCCCTCTACCCCAGATCCACCAGGAAACGGAGGAAAGTGTTAGGGGAACACGCCTTTAGCCCCACTCATGGTGAGTGTGCACTACACTTGTGAAGATGTGCAAGCCAGCCCTTCGTGTCTTCATCTCCCCCCGTTTAGGACAACTAATGTTTGAATTGCCTGTTCTACTTTTCTATCAAACTATTACCCGGAGGAGACTAGCTCTGCCCATTGTTGGATATTACAGGCTGTAAAGTGTGTTCCTTGGTCTAAAGAAATGTGACTGGGCCATCCAAATTGGTGCAATATCTTCTGTTCTGGCTTTTGAATGGCACAGTGAGCATTTGCATCCTCCACCGGGTAAGCAAAGCCCAGACCAGTCAGCGTCTATACAGAACATGTCTAGATTCAGCCCATCTCTGCACTGCTGCAGCTACCCACTTATTTCATGGACCCAGCTGCCCACATCAGGGGAGGACACAGGGATAACTGCTTGTTGACTCCAGTCACCTTTGGAATCTGGAAGGGAGTTCTGATGAGCATTGACTTGTTTTACTTTAATGCACCCTCAGATTTCCACAGGGCTGTGCTCCATGGGGGAGTCCTTTTAATAGCCAGGTTTCCATGGCCCTCTTGCTGAGTGTATGGCCAGGCCACTGGTCGCTGCCCAAAAGTCAATAAAACCCCAAACACAGGCGCTTCTACAACCCTTCAATTCTTCCATCACTGTTAGGTAACAGCATGCATTTCAGCCCACCAAGTTGATTTGTTTTAGCCTGCTTTGATCAAAGTAGCCCTTCCAACAGGACTGTGTGTCTCTTCACCTTGGAACTGCCACCCACAAACCAAGCAACTCTTCGTCGGTCAGTTGAGAGAGGTTGACAGGGCTCTGTTCAACTGACGATAGAATCCAGAAGCTCCTCACATAGCTCCAGATTCAGTCCTAGAGGAAAATGGGCTCCCTGCTCATATCGCCTCCTTGTATTCCCTAGGCAGCATGATCCTGAATAAACCACTTCCATTTTATTACAGGACTCTTCTAGGGTACTGCCATTCCCATTAGAGCATTTCTCTGATATCACCCAAGACATCAGGGGTATTTCATGTTTTAAGATCATTTTATGTCCTTCAGTCATAAGAGTAGTTTCCACTAATGTCTGAGACCAAGTTAGTAAATACCCTTTAAATGAGAATTCTCCAGTCTAGAGTCCCAGTAGTTGTCGCTGGGAGGTGCTCACAGGCTTTGATGTAAGCTCCAGTGCACACACCACACAGACCTAACACAGAGAGAATCTGGCCATACCAAGACTCCAGCTTCAACTCTCCCCTGTGGGCTCAGACGGTCTCACTGGTTCCCATTTAGCATGCCCAATTAATACTGCTTTACGGCAGGGCGCAGTGGCGCATGCCTGTAATCCCAGCACTTTGGAAGGCCGAGGAGGGTGGATCACCTGAGGTCAGGAGTTCAAGACCAGCCTGGCCAGCATGGTGAAACCCTGTCTCTACTAAAAATACAAAAATTAGTTGGGCGTGGCGGCAGGCGCCTGTAATCCCAGCTAGTCAGGAGGCTGAGGCATGAGAATTGCCTGAACCCGGGATGTGGATGTTGCAGTGAGCCAAGATCATGCCACTGTATTCCAGCCTGGGCGACGGAGTGAGACTCCATCTCTCTCTCTCTCTCTCTGTCTCTATTATATATATATTGCTATACATGGGTAACAGGCATGTTTAACAGGTGAATATCGCGGTCATCAAAAAGACAGTCCCATATGGCTTGCACGCAAAGCATGTCCGCCGCTTCATCTGGGGTGCTCCACTTCAGTCATAGGAGGAGACAACAGTCCCTCTTCTCAGGATACACAAATCTTACAGTGACTGTAACCAGTCCACCAGGCTGGCTGTTCCCTTGAGAATAACCTTCTGTGTGTCTGATCACTTAGAGCCACCTGTGATTGTTCCATAGCAAGCTGTGGGTACTGCATGAACCCAAACACGCTCTTCCACTCTGCAGCATTCCAAACCAAAGATATTCATCCTATATTTGTTGCTGTCATAACCCATTTTTACTAAAGACTCCTCAGGAAGCTGATGATACTGATCTACAAAATGAACAGTTCCTTCACACGGCACCTCTGGTTTCAGTGGTCTTCTGGTTTGGCCCTCTCCCCACATGGACTACCTGCTGGTGACCAGAGATCTTAGAGATACTTCACGTTGTTCCTGCATAATTTTTCCCTTGAGGGTGGCTTTCAGGCCAGTGGCTGAAACTCAGACCCACTGAAATCTGAGCTTGGTCTAGCATCAAGGTCTGAGCCAGCACTGCCTTTTAGTTTCATTTTAGCTGTTACATAGAACAATAACCAAGGAATTGAACATTTTACCCTAGTTTGCATTTCCTTACACATCCAGTGAACCAGCTCCCAGGGAGCTGGAGCCATCTCTCAGTACCACTGATAACTTTCACTTTTAGTAACTGAGCACAGCACAACTGTGGCTCCACACACGGCTGAGCACGTGGCCACCAAGGAATCGAAGGTTCCTCACCCCCCACCCTTTTATCCTTTCTCTTCCCAAACCATGTTTCCCAGAGCCATGGTCATTCTAGCAAATACCACTTCGTTGACACCAACTTGTACAGTAGGAAAAATGAGGCAGTAAAAAACTAAAAGAACAAGTGGATGGATTTAGGAAGGTCTTTTGAAACTAATAAAGTAAGAAAGCCACTGAAAGCTGACCAAGGATGCCCCCAGAGGCACAAGGATCAGAAGGCCCGACGTGGCTCATGGGTAATGTCCTTTGTCACAGTGACTACATTTTGGTGGCTTTAATTTTGACACTCTTGTTTTCTCCATCTGCATTCACTTTTATTAATAAAAAAGTATTTTAAATAAAATAGCAGGCAATGTGCCATGTCACCCACAAATACTTCAGTATGATATATTCTAATTAATTAGGCCTCCCTTTTTAAAGCAAGGCCATGATGACCAGACCTAATAAAATTACAAATAATTCTTTAATATCATTTAATATCCAGCCCACATTCAAATGGTTTGAAAGATATTTTTTCACAGTTATATCCAAACACAGTCCACTCATTGGGTCTGGTTTTACGTCTCTGAAGTGTCATGGATTCCTTGGAGAACCCAGGTCATTGGCAGAATGTTCTGAATCCTACATTTGTCTGATTGCTTCCTTCTATTGTCATTTAGCTTGTTACTTTATCCCCAACACATGCTGTAAATTGACAGATTTAGAGGCTTGAGTGCATTCAGGTTTATGTTTTAGGTTATATGCTGTGTGTTGTAACCAATTGCGTTACAACACGCAGCCCATAAAGTCAAGTTTTCCCACTTCTAGTGATGGTGTCAGCCTGACCCCTCCAATACGAAATTTCTCATCAGCATTTCATTGAGTAAACTTAATATCTATTGCAGATCAATGTTGAGACTCATTATTTCATGGGATTTTAAAAACATCATTATGAACTCATACTCATAGATTTTTAAAATATACTTCATGTATTTCAATCCGTTGCACTTAATTGTTTTTGTTTTTTGTTTGTTTGTTTGTTTTTTGTTTTTGACAGAGTCTCACTCTGTCACCCAGGCTAGAGTGCAGGGGCGCAATCTTGGCTCACTGCAACCTCCACCTCCTAGGTTCAAGCAATTCTCCTGCCTCAGCCTCCCAAGTAAGTGGGACTACAGGCACGTGCCATCACACCTGGCTAATTTTCATATTTATTTTTCAGTAGAGACGCAGTTTCAGCATGTTGGCCAGGCTGGTCTTGAACTCCTGGCCTCAAGCAATCCACCTGCTTCAGCCTCCCAAAGTGCTGGGATTACAGGTGTGAGCCACCACTCCTAGTCTGTTGCAGTTAATTTTTTTTAATGTCCAAATTCCCCCACTTTAGGCCAATGGGAGCATTTTCAGATGGCCCCTTATTCCTGTCAACATAGTCAATAGTCTCAGCTTTCTTGTTTTGTTTATTTTGTTTTGGCCCAACAGAATGTCCCAGGCTCTTGATGTTGATTTCCTTCTTCTGATCTGAAATCAGCAATTTTTCTAAGACGACAACTCTCTCTTTTATCCACTTCACCCTGCTCCAGGCTGAATGAAGTCATAAAAAAATTAAAATGTAATGGACTTTCCTCTCTAGCCAGATTACAACAGTTACACTTCCAGTGGTGAGCCACAGCCTTGCTGTGAATTAAAAGACTTGCTTCAGACATCTATTTTTTAAGTCAGTCTAGATTCATGTTAGCATAATATGTTCCCTTAACTCTAGCACACGCACCTGTGTTGAATCCCCTTATCAGCTATGGTGGGAGGGTGGTATGCTCTGTTTTCCTTAATGCTCTGGATAAACAGTCTAAGGAAAAAATCACCTGGTCAAGGAGGAAATTGGTTGCTAACCCAAACTTTTAAAAAACGAAAGCAGAAAATTATGGCAATGAAAGTTTTAATGATTGTTCTCTTATCGTTCTCCGTGAGGCCGCTGTGGGATACGTAAAGGACATCCTTTCTATCTCTACCGGATTCACTCTCTCTTTGAAGAAAGCAATGCAACCAAGAAGTTGACACACTCCTGGGTTTCTGGAGAGGATAAAGCCCAAGAAAACTCAAACTGTATTTGGATATTAATAAGGACTTTGCTTTGGCAAACAAAACCATGTGAAGGTCCAGGGTTGCCAGACCAAAGAGCTCTGAGCAGTGGTCCTGTGGCATGTTTTTATTTTTTTAATTTTTTAAATTTTTTTAGGAACAGGGTCTCACTGTGTTGCCCAGGCTGGTCTTGAACTACTGGGCTCAAGGGATCCTCCCACCTTGGCCTCCCAAAGCACTGGCGTGATAGGCATGAGCCCCACACCTGGCCCTGGTCCTGCAGCACATCCCAGCTGCACACTTAACCTCATGGAAGAGGAAGGAGAAAACAGCTTTTCCTTGCCCATGGCTAGGTGCACAGCTGTGGCCCCTACTAACACGAGAGAGATTAACAAAAGAAAATCATATACATTTACCCATATTTTACAAGACACCAGGGCCTTCAGAAGAGAAGGCCCAAAGAAACAGAGAAATCTGAATATTTTTAAGCTTAGGTTGGTGAAGAGTGGACAGTGTGGGGAAGTGTGATTGCACAAACAGGCTATGATCTAATGGCAATAAACCAGGGGAAACTTACGAAGAGGTGTTTGTTCAGATCTATCTCTGAAGTCTTGTGTCTTCAGAGATAAGGACGTTTCTTTCCTCCAGGTATCAACAGGGCACGTCTCAAACGCAGGTCCTATGACTGACCTGCTTCAGGGGAGAAGAGCAGGGAACGTGAGAGATCTTTCTGCCTCTGCCTCTTTTCTCAAATGCCAGGGTTCTGAATTTTGGGGCGGCATGTCCTAAACCCCACCACTAACTTGGAAGCCCAGGGCCAAACCAAATACTTTGCACTTAATTTTACATAGAGTAATAATACAGCCTTTAAAAATGAATATCTGAGAAAAAGAAAACTTAGTACTTACTTAACTGGGTCTTTTACAAAATGATTCCCTAGAACTCTTCAAAATTACACCCGTGAAGTCCGCTGGATCCTCTCTGTGGTTTTGTGTTAGACTCATGCTTTGCCTTTTAAAGAACAGGGTCCAGTCCTTTTGTGATTTCTAGAGCTACAGGCTTGGTGTGAAGGCCGGGAGTATAAGAGGAAAGTGGAGTGGGAACCACAGGAGGGGTGAGTTAGCCACCCTCATGCCCCCTCCTCCCCCAACAGATGCCTCCTATCATCACCAGGCGAATTCCAATTTCCTGCCTCAAAGGATATCGGCACAGAGCTAACATTTTGTAGGGAAAATAGAACCAGTAAAGAGAAATGAATAAAATCAGAACGACACTGATGAAGAAAGCCCAAGGAGAGTTCTAGTCAGCCCTCCCGGAAGCCTCGCTCAGCAGGATGGCAATAGAAGTGGTTTAGAGTTGCCTTCTGCACACTGAACTCACTGAGGGATGTTAGCCCCAGCTCTGCAGGAGGAGATAACCGCTGGCTCTACAGCGCACCCGGGGGACCCACCCAAGTGATGTGCCAGGCCCCAGACTCCTCCCCTGGAGGCAAGAGATAAACCAAAACAGAGTTCAGGGCTGTCCCTGGTGGTGGTGAGAAGAACATGTTCACTATGTGGGGAGCTGGGAACATTTACTCTGAAAAGACAAGAGTTGGAGGTAAACAGAAGCTTCAAATATCCAAAGTTCTGTGTAGGAAGGTTTTAACTTAATCTACCTGACCCCAAAAGGGAGAATAGTGTCCAAATGTGTGGAAAGTTCTGGAAGATGAATCCTGTTGTGCTATGAGGAAGATATTTCCAGCAATCTGTAAAGTCCAACAACAGCCTGGGTTCAGCCAATACTGAAAGCATTTCCGTGTAACTACTTGGGACAGGTGTTGAGGAATTGAAGTGTCAGATGGTGCTGCCTACTGTCCTCTAAGCTGCCTTCCCTCTGGGAGGCTCTGCGATCCTCCCACAGATCACCTGCCACTGTGCCTGGCCAGGAGCCCTACACCCAGCCCACCCTGCTGTGATGCAAGTGGGCAGCAGGAAGTTGAGGAAGGAGAACAAGGCACGTGACGGATGGATGGGGTGCACCGAGGAAGAAAACAAGGGAGGAATAGAGAGGGTGAAAGTGTCTCCGTGAATAACTTCCAACTATTGAAGCCACTGTGCTCAGTAATAGTCCTATGCGATCTCATCCATCAGCTCTCTGACTTAGGGATAATGGCCCTGTTACAAGAGGTATTAGAACTTGCCCTGGTGACACGGATACATTAGGGCCAGGCTGGGCTACAGTCCAGGCTCTGCTGCTCTGCTGACCCTCCCCTTTGCTCCCACTGCTTTTCCATCTTAGCTGCGTAGAGGACAGATGGCACCCGTCACTGTGAGACAACCTATTTCTATCATTTTTGTCTCAGGTAGACGTCACCTTAGCCAAGCAGGTTGCATAGACCTCAATAGACCAGATATTGATTTCTAAAATCATCCTGCTTAACAAATGACCCAAAAGCCTACGTTCCATTGAAGATGGGTCTCACTGCTTCTGCCATGTCATCCTCTAAGTACCTGATGTCTGGCTTGCCATGGGATAGGTAGGATTCATCCATCCTAACTTCCCACCCTAACTGCCCCCGTGTCTTTTTGTGCAGGGGGCCCAGAAGGTTAGTCTGGGCACAACTGGCCTTCCTCAGTGCCGTAGAAAGGGTGGTACACTGGGGCAATATTTATTTACATTGCAGAGAAACCTGATAAGAGGTTGAGAAATACTTCTGACATTAATTATAATATATTACCAGGTTATATGGATTAAATGATCAGATTACACTCCAGTCATGCTTCTGAATATGTAAGCACCCCCATAAAAGAAGTGACAATTTCCCAAGATACCTGGACTCAAACCGTAGGGTGTCTACCCCTCCTCTCTGTGGTTTCTTTCCCTGAGTTGCTCACTGCCCATGTGGCTTCTCTGTAGGGTCTGTCACCTTATGGGATTGATTTTATGGCAGCTGTGCTGTGACTCGTGCATCCACAGAACAATGTTGAATGACTGTGTAAACGCATTGCTGTAAGCAACCTGAGGTCTGAACTTCTCCTTATCTGATTGTTCCCTCTAAGTAATTTGTAGCAAATTTCAACATTGTTTCCCATTGGCCAGCAAAGCTCTTCTGGCCCTTACCTTGTGCCCCTTGCTCATGACGTGAAGATCTGATGTCTTGACATGTTAAGTGAGTCAAACCCAAGTGCACGTGTCTGCAAATTTCTTGTAAGAGGCAGTCAGGAGCATCTCTTGGCCCTTGGGGTAGAGTAAAGTTTGACAACCTCTGTCACTTTTTAACTCTTTAACTCGCCCTCCTACAGCTCTTTGACGGGGAACAGGTGCAGACAGAGCAGCCTTGGCTTCCGGCTCATGCACTCACGATGCTGGCTGCGAATGGGAAGTCCCTAAACAGAACTGAGCCCCCTCATTCAGCTCAGAGCAAACGGGGCTGGCAGCAGCCCAGGGCACCACGAAGCAGAGTGCCTCTGTGTGCCCAACACAGCCGCAGTGGAGGTCAATGGATGTCCTTGCCGGCGCCCTGCTTTTTGCTTTTTTAAGAAAATAAGAAGCCTGCAGCTGCGGCAAGGAGAAAGACCCCGTGGGTCGCTCCTTTTAGACTACGCTATTACACCTGCTGACTATCCAATAGAAAAAAGAAGGAGAAGGAAAATCGGGTTAACTTTCTGGTATTTAGTTTGCAGATATGTCAGCAGGCCACCTTCTCTACTTGGCAGGATCACGATGTATTAAGAATCCTTTTGTCCACCAGGAAAGACAAATTTCCTGTTTGTCTTGCATTTAGATGCAACAACATCATCCTAAAGAGATGCCCCTGATGTGTGAGAGCAGAAAGGGGTGATCCCTTTCTTCCTTATCCTAAGGCTCACGGCCAACACCCCTATAACAAAAGACAGGTTAACAAGAGAAAAGCATGACAAATTTATTTGATCACGTTTTACATGACACAGGAGCCTTCATTCAGAATGAAGACCCACAGATACAGGGAAAACTGGATGGCAGTATAGAACTGTAGTTGGACAAAAAGGGCAGCAGCCCATGTTCGCAGGCTGAGGGGAAAACCCAGCAAGGCCTGTCTGTTCAGATCCGTCTTGGCCCCTCTGTGCAGCACTCCTTCCTCCAGGCACCGGGGACAAGACTCCTCTGGAATGCGGGTCTGGATTTCTTTACGGCCCACTGTTACACAGAAAGGCAGCGGGGAAGTTACAGTGGTATTTCTAGGCTTTCTGGCTGGCTTTGGGGAGAAAAGAGTCTGGTTTCCACGAGCTGCTTTGAGGAAGAAGGATTCTCAGTTCTATGGCTTGCCCCGGGGGAGAATGATGGGTGAGAGAAGAGACAGGAGGGCAGGAGAAGGTCAGAGAGAGAGACTTTGCTTCTGAGGCCTCCACCTTGGGGCATGGATTTCTGAGCCCCAACAGACCTTGACAGAAAAATCTAGGACACAAAGATAGTGGCTTGGACACACCTGCCTGCATTTACACTTGACCTGTCTGCGACGTAAACACTTTCCTCTTTCCCTCCAGATGGGTTAAGGGGAAGGACACTTCAGGGTTGAAACGCAGGAATACCAGATTGGAGCAAACACTTTTTAAAAGCAGAGTTATAAAATCTGGACAACATCAAAACAAGCAGCCCCAGCATGCATCCCGACGGCTCTTGTTGTTGGTTGGAGAATGAGCCCAGCAGTCAGGCTTGCAACCCACTTCGAATCTGGACCAGGGTTCTGACACGGATCCTGGTTCACATCACGCTGGGCCTTGTGGCCAAACACGTGTGTTTTCTCCATAGGGCCTTGAAGAAAAGCTGGCGGTGCGCATGAGATAGGAGTATATTAAGTTCCTGGCTGCTCGGGGCACTACGGGAAGATTACTGGGCTGTGATATGGGCCAGCACTCAGATTCCCTGCGGTGGGACACAGAGGGCGGGTTGTTTGTGCTGCTGGCGTGGAGCACCGACAAGCCTGTGGAGAACCAGTTATAATAAACACGACAGGCATCCTGGGAGTGAGCTCAGGGCATTTGGGAAGTGCAGAAGGACATGCACCCCCGCTGGAGGGGTGCACCTTTGAAGTCAGCTGGACCAAGGAAAGGCCCTGCCCTGAAGGCTGGTCACTTGCAGAGGTAAACTCCCCTCTTTGACTTCTGGCCAGGGTTTGTGCTGAGCTGGCTGCAGCCGCTCTCAGCCTCGCTCCGGGCACGTCGGGCAGCCTCGGGCCCTCCTGCCTGCAGGATCATGCCCACCACCGTGGACGATGTCCTGGAGCATGGAGGGGAGTTTCACTTTTTCCAGAAGCAAATGTTTTTCCTCTTGGCTCTGCTCTCGGCTACCTTCGCGCCCATCTACGTGGGCATCGTCTTCCTGGGCTTCACCCCTGACCACCGCTGCCGGAGCCCCGGAGTGGCCGAGCTGAGTCTGCGCTGCGGCTGGAGTCCTGCAGAGGAACTGAACTACACGGTGCCGGGCCCAGGACCTGCGGGCGAAGCCTCCCCAAGACAGTGTAGGCGCTACGAGGTGGACTGGAACCAGAGCACCTTCGACTGCGTGGACCCCCTGGCCAGCCTGGACACCAACAGGAGCCGCCTGCCACTGGGCCCCTGCCGGGACGGCTGGGTGTACGAGACGCCTGGCTCGTCCATCGTCACCGAGGTAAGAGAGTGAGCTCAGGGCTCAGATGGAGAAGCAAATGGTGGAGATTTTCTCAAGGAAGCAAGCAGGGAAGGCCCGGCTCTTATAAACCCTGCCTGGACATCTCTTTGGCCTGCATGTATCTTACAAAATCCTAGTTTCCAAATGAGAACATGCAGCTTCTAATTTGTCTGGAGAATAACTGGATTAGTTAAAACGTCCTCAGATGCTGACAATAATGATTCTAGTTTGTGCATGTCCCAGCAATAAGGAACAGGCCAAAGCATATTAGGACTCCTGGAAATGTTGCCAAGATAGGGATATTGTGGATCCTCCTCTTTTTCTGGAAGCCTTACCTCCCCCTCTATTCCTCCATCCCGCAGATGCCCACACACACCTGAAAGCCCGTGGAACTCAACTGAACTGTGCCTGACTGTGTGATAGGATGTGCTTTTCTCTCGATACCTATTTTTTCTCTTTAATTTCCTCAAAGTGTTCATATAAAATCATTTGGGGCTGGAGATCATGCTATGGCACTATTATTTTGTTAAAAACTACAGATGACATCAAAAGCTATTTGTGAAGCCTGATTCCAATAAATATAATAGAAAAAAAGACAAAAAATGGAGCTTGCTTTTATTGAAAGCAAAGCAAAATAGGGGAATTAAGTTACCTGAAAATACTGAGAGAGCCAGTTGCCTAGTTTAATTTAAAATGACTGCTTGGACAATGGGAAGATATTCTGTGTGAACAGATGGGTAGGTAGAGTCTAATTTGAAGGGTCTAAAGTGGTCAGATATTTACAGGAAATGTGGCAGCTCATGGGCTTCACACCACAAACTCTCCGAGGCTCTCTCACATGGCCAATCTCATTGCTTCCTACAGAGATGAGGAAACTGAGGCCCCAAGCAGAGAAGGTTTTTCCCCAGGCCACACAGTGAATAACTTAGCAGGGTTAGCCCTAAAAGATGGGTCTCCTGACCTGGTCCAGCACCTGCTCCACCCGACCACCTCCTCTTATTCCAAATAAGAGCAAATGCAGCAGCCTTCAGCAGTCACTCCTAATCCCCTTTTATTAAACAGACAGCAGGGAGATGCTAAATGGCCCAACCTCCTGGTGCCTGCATTGTATCACGTCCACACACCTATCTGCATGTGCATTGAAATTAGAAAGGAAAAAATAAATTTGTCTATAAGTAATTACCCAGTTTCAGCTGATTTAGCCAATGCTGTAGTTTTAGCTTCATGACAAATTGCCAGATGGAAGGGCAAGCCTTTTGGTTATGTAAAGAAAACTGAGGCTGGGCACAGTGGCTCACGCCTATAATGCCAGCATTTTGGGAGGCTGAGGTGTGAGGATCACATGAGCCCAGGAGGTCGAGGCTGCAGTGAGCCATGATCACCACTGTACTCCAGCCTGGGTGACAGAGCAAGACCCTGTCTCACAAAAAAAAAAAAAAAAGAGAGAGAGAGAGAAGAAGAAGAAAATTGGCATGATCAAGAAACAATGGCTTATTGCCACTTAACTATACAGTTCAATTCAAGGAATATTTAATGAGTACCCTAGCTGAGTTATGTCCAACAGGATTCTAACAGGATTTCATTTCCTTTCTCTCCCAACTTGGAACACTTCTCCCCTGCTGGCAGTTTAACCTGGTATGTGCCAACTCCTGGATGTTGGACCTATTCCAGTCATCAGTGAATGTAGGATTCTTTATTGGCTCTATGAGTATCGGCTACATAGCAGACAGGTAGGTTGAATCACCTGTGGTGGAATTTAAACAATCCCAAAGGTTTGGAGAACACTTGGATGCACCTGCCCCTGCTTGAATCCCATCCTTTCCCAAGCACACAGACCACAATCTCCTGGCCTTCATGCTGGTGTTTTTACAATCTTAAATTTCTTCTGCTGCTTGGATAACCATGACCAATGTCTTTATTTTCAAATTCTCTGGGGTCATAGACAGATATTTCAACATTACACAGCAAATCTTCCATGGGGGCTATGCAGAAGCTTCAAGTCGGAAGGGAGAGTAACAGATGATCTCATCCCTTTTGTAATTCCCAATTCATTTTTTGGCCTCATCACCATCCACCTGGCCATCAGCCTTCAGGGCCTCTGAGCTCAATCCTATCCTCTGCTTGTCTCGCATATGCTGGGAGCCCCCAGCACCAGGCCCAATGTAGAATCTCCCTAATACCCGTGGGATTGCAAGAGTCCTGAATTGGGTTCCTGGGGCCATATATGACCATATATGTGGAAGCCATAACTTAAAGAAAGGGAAACAGGGTCTGCCTACAACACGAGGGGTAAATGTCCACCTCTGCAATATCATTGTCCCTGGAGAGATGACGAGAGGCCTCTCTGATGAGTCTTGTCTTCAGCAAGCTAGTAGTCAGTGTTTGTATGGATCAAGCTATTGCTATGTCTCTTACTTATCCAGCATTTTGGAATCCCACACTCACTGTGCTGCAAGTTTCCTACAACATGCAGCTTTGCTCTCTTGATGACCAATGAGACATTTTTAGAAGTCCTCAAAAGGAAAAGGAACCAAAAATTTGCTTCATAGTTGATAGGCACTTTAGATAACTTGGCCGTCAGGGCTAATTATTTAATATTCATAACACCGTTTATTGAGTGTTTTCCATGGCCAGGCACTGTGTTCAACATTGTGGGTAATAGTATTCCCCTTAATCAGCAATCACCTAGTGAGATAGTGATACATAACTATAGATTATTATATATAATACACAAACATATAATTTTATCTAGATATAAATATATAATTATGAATTTACATGTAAAATATAAATATATAACTGAAATACATGGTAAAGTCAATGCATTTTATGCTTGTTGCCCTCCCATGCCATCCCCAACTACATCTATGATATAATCCAAACCTGTGAGTATAATGTTAAATGCAAGTAGAACATTTTCTCTGATTATATTATTTTAGGCTGAATTAAAACTTGCAAATGTGTTAAGGATGAATAATGATGGCTTAATATATCACACCCCCAAGGCATATGCACTTCACAGGGGCCTGGGGCCCAACTGGCAGCAGAAGGGAAGAGGGATAAAAGTGGAGGCACAGGCCACGTGCACCTCATCCATCACCCATGGTTATTAATTGTCTCCTCAGCTGCCCTGACAAGGCTCTTCCTGGGGCTTTCTGCGGGAGGCTTGCAAGGTGAAAGGGAAGGTTTTTATTTTTATTGCTGCAGAATTGAGGATGATTCTTTAAAGATGACGCATTAAATCAGGAGAGACACATTAACAAGGGGAGGTCCGGAGTCCACCTTGCACCCCTGGGCAGCTCTGGCCCTGCAGGCATTCACTCTCTCTGCACTCCCTCCTCCGCCACCAGGTAGAGGTGCTAACACTCACTCCCTGACAGGCTGTGAGTAAACAGGTGACTCAATCTTTAACCCTTGCTCAGTGGGTTAAGAAATTAGTTAATTATTCACATCCCACTCAACAAGTAGGAGATTGGTCATAAATCCCTACTGACAGTGCATTCCTGTGTTATAAGCCCTGGTCAATTATCCACCTTCTTAGATGATCTCATTATTTTGTTCCTATTGTTGAAATCCCCTCTGTCAAGGTAAGTACTCATTATTCTTCCCCCAAAGGCTGTCTCCATGCCTCGACTTCTTTTTCTTACACCATCTGAAGCTTGGCCGGTCATTGCCCTTCTTCTGTTCTGTGCCTGCATGCAGGAGTGAGAAGCCTAGCCTAAAGAAATGAGAAAGCAATTTGTTTTTTGTATAGTTAATGCCTACAATTTCCAGATTTTATACAATAGGACAAGAATGTCATGGATCCCCATTGTATTCACAGATTAAGCCAACTTTAAATAAAACACATTGTCTTCCATGAATAATTTTTTAAAAAAACAGTAAGGCATTATGAAAAGATTGTAAATAAGACTAAGAGTGGACCCAAGTATAACCCATAACTTCCTCATCAATGATTTTGAGTGTCACCTGAGACAAAAAAGCAATTCCTCACCAATCCCAGGGTTTTTTTAATTTTAACAAGCAGCAATTATAAGTACTATATTTTTTATTTTTTTTATTTTTTGAGACAGAGTCTCACTCTATCGCCCAGGCTAGAGTGCAGTGGTGCAATCTTGGCTCACTGCAGCCTCTGCCTCCTGGGTTCAAGCAATTCTCCTGCCTCAGCCTCCTGAGTAGCTGGGATTACAGGCGCCTACCACCATGCCCAGCTAATTTTTGTATTTTTAGTAGAGACAGGGTTTCACCATGTTGGCCAGGTTGATCTCGAACTACTGACCTTAGGTGATCTGCCCTCCTTGACCTCCCAAAGTGCTGGGATTATAGGCATGAGCCACTGCATGTGGCCATAAGTGCTATATTTACTGTGTCATGCTTGTGAATGCTTAACAACTAGTTCTCTGGGAGGGAAAGCCCCAGTTTGTAGTGTTTATTGATTGCTCTGGTGTAAATATACCCACTGTGGTTCACTTCAGCCTACAAAAATGACATCACAGGACATAGAGTTGGCTAGAAGTGTGCACCATTACACAGCATTTCCACCATGCAGATACAGTAGATGTAAATAACCTCACAAGCACAGATGGCCAAATATAGTAAAATCATTGGAAAGTGATGTTTTGCATATTACACTTGCTTTCAATATAATTTAGTTGTAAATGTATATAATTTAATTTTTAATAATGGTTATGCTAACAATTAGCTTGCAAATTTTCTGTAAGTCTGATCATTAGCTCTTAAGAGCCAGCACCCTACTTTTATGTGTTGTGATGGAACTAGATCAAAGTGAGCTAGGAGGAGGGACTTGACTCTGGAGGCGGGGCTTGGACACCAGACCAAACTGAGGACTAGCTAAAACAGGTCCCAGGCAGGAGCAGCTTTCCATAAGACATGACCACCAGTGCACCATGTCGGTTTACTATTGCCATGGCAACATGGCAATCTCCAGCCCCTTTTAATGGCAATGACTCTACAACCCAGAAGTTACCACCCTTTTCCTAGAAATTTCTGCATAAGCCACCCCTTAATTTGCATATAATTAAACGTGGGTTGCATATAATCAAATTTATAATTTAAATTAATTTGCATATAATTAAAAATAAATATGAGTACAGAACAGACTCCTCTGAGCTGCTATTCCAGGCACACTGCCTATGGAATATCCCTGCTCCACAAGGAACAGAGGTGCTGCTGCTATACATTGCAGCTTCAATAAAAATGGCTATTTAACAACACCAGCTTGCCCTTGAATTCTTTCCTGGGCAAAGCCAAGAACCCTCCCAGGCTAAGCCCCAATTTTGGTGCTTGCCTGTCCTGCATCAAAAGCAGAACTAAAGTCCCAGTGGGTTGCAGTCATACTTACCCAACTATATGGGATCTTCCAAAACACGTTCACCACTGATTACTGTGTGCTAGTCACTTTACTGGGCATCCTCATTTGTTATATTTCATTTAGGATCACGAGAGCCTTTTAAAGTAGATTTCATTATCCATAATTTACAATGGATGAAGAAACCGAGGCTCTGTGAAATTAAAGCACTGCTTCCCAAATGCTAAGTTGCATATAAATCTCCTGGGGATCTTGCTAAAATTCAGATTCTGATCCAGCAGATCTGGGTGGGCCCAAAATTCTGTATTTCTAACCAGCTCCCAGGTGATGCTGTTCCCAAGCCCATGCTAATAGTCCTCAGCCACATTCTGAGTCACAAGTAGCTAAAAGACTTACCAAGCCAGCAGTATGGGGAGTCCACCCTTCCTGTCCTGTTTCTTCTGATTGTTTTCCATTTAACCATTTAAATAGCCCTGCTGAGGGGTAGGAGGAGTCTCAGACCTCTATCCCAGATTCCCCAAATTTATTCTAGCCATGCCTTATTATTCTTTTAAGTAGCATTGCTTCCCTATGTGGAACATGTCTCCAGTGAAGTTTTTCCACATCATGGATTTGATTTTCTTGCTCTGAGTTTCAGATGATGAATATTCCCTCTCATCACCTAAAAGATTTTGTCCATCTACATGGGGCACTACTGTGGTGTTCTACTGTGTGCCTGAAGCAGTTTTGAAAGTTGAAGAAGTACCATTTGAGTCAATGTTTATAGATTATATACTCTTTGAGGGTAAAGGAAGGGGTTTGGGTAGGAAAATGTGGGAAGAAATGCTAAAAAATTAAGTTGAGATATGACTTTGGAAGGCTTTGAATTAGAGGCCAAGAGGTTGTATATTTACAGCAGGGAGCCATTGACTGAGAATTAAGAAATTACATCGTTACCTAGGTGATGGGTTGATAGGTACAGCAAACCACAATGGCACACATTTCCCTATGTGACAAACCTGCACATCCTGCACATGTACCCCAGAACTAAAAATAAAAATTTTTAAAAATGAAATTACATGGTCAAAACAGAGTTTTAAGACTTAAGAAATTTACTAGTTAATACTAATTACCAATGTAACTGCTTAACCTTAAAATTTCATATTTAAAATATTACTCTTCCAAAATAATTATTAATAATGTGGATTATTTTGAAATGGTTAGTATTTGACACCTTCACTAGAATATAGTTGCATAATAATAAAAGCATCAATTAAACAATGTTTATCCACCATTAAAAGGAGCAATCCTGATAACAAAAAGCCATCCTTCCAATTGAAGTGGAAAGACAAAGATTAAATAAACATTGTTTTCTGTGAAGAATTTTTTTAAATATCCACTAAGTGGATTAGGGTGTCTTTTACAAGCAAACCAGGACATGGCGAAAATAACAGTATTGGGCCCCAGGTCAACTCTCTGAGCTGAGCCAGGTTTGCAAACAGAAGGAAAAAAGGAAGGAAGGGGTCGGAGGCAGGCTATGTGCCAAGCTCCTTACCTCTAATATCTCACTTAATCCTCTTTTCAGCTGGGTCAGATGGGTCTTTTCCAGATGAAGACACTGAATATGGTTGAATAGGTTGCCCAACATCATAGTAAGTAGGAAGGTCATGATGAAACCCAGGTTGCCAATTGTTTTCCTCTATTCCATATACTGGGACAACTTTCCAAATCCCTAAACTGAATAAACCTAAGTCTCCCAAATCTGATGTGTGGAAGCTGTCTTCCCAGGGTGCTCCAAACAGAGGCCCCCATAGGATAGTAACATGTGTGGCACCAAAGACAATTTTCACAAAGCCTAAAAGCACTGTTGAAAAAGAAAGGGGGTATATACTGAACACTGAATTTTGTTTTCAAAGTGAAAAAGTGAAAACATTCTTGGGTGGATAATTGGTTGAAATTGTTAGTGCAAAGGCCGCAGCTCACATGGTGATGTAAGACCTAGTTAGGACCATAGGGTATTCAGCACAGGATGGCCTGGATGAATTACTCTTTCCCTGAATACCTGCCACAGTGTGGGACTGAGAAAGTACTTGAACCCTGGGGTGAATGGGGCTTATCATGCTGAAAACTTACACATAGTGTGCTGATGAAAAGTGCTACCTGGACCTGGAGTCACAGATTCCCTTTGTGGCTATCAGTCTGTGCCTCCTGGATTCATAAAATTTAAAGTTAACCTCTAACTTTGTTTAGATTTCCATAACTTCCATGCATTTTCCACAATCTTCACAAATCAAAATTAATTCAATTCCCTCTCTTTGTTTTTCTTCCTGCAGGTTTGGCCGTAAGCTCTGCCTCCTAACTACAGTCCTCATAAATGCTGCAGCTGGAGTTCTCATGGCCATTTCCCCAACCTATACGTGGATGTTAATTTTTCGCTTAATCCAAGGACTGGTCAGCAAAGCAGGCTGGTTAATAGGCTACATCCTGAGTAAGAATGTTTGTGCTTGCAACTGTGAGAACAAAGCAACCTCGCTGCCAAAATAGAGTCAGGTGGGGGGCGGCATGCAAGAAAAGGGACCCAGCTTCAAGACAATATTGAGAGATTTTTTTATTTCTGTATCAAAAGAATTCCTAAAAGCATATCAACTCATTCAGCATTCCTCCTTATAAACTAAAAAAATGAAGGCAGAAACAAGGGTAAACATAATGCCACCCAGATTCTTATGTAACTTTTTTGGAATTTTTGTTTTCTGTACCCTGGAGTATTGTGTGGAAAGAAAATTCATCCTACCAGACCTATTCATAAAGAAGAATCAGTGATGAGAGATATAGTAGATTTATAAAGGACTTTAATACTTTGCAAAAATCTATTCTAGTGAACTACAATTATCCTCAACTTACACATAAGGAAACTGAAAACACAAGTACTGTAGTCAACCTAGGTTACTCAGCCAGCCATTTTTAGGACGAGGAATATAACTTACATCCTATTCCTTAGTAGCCAGAGTTACAGTTAAGTTCCATATACTATAAGAGAATATTTGACTTCTAACATCATAGCATCTTTATAGCAATATTCTCACTATGGCTGATACCAACGGGTTGAACCACCAGCTTGTAAAATTCCCCAGCATGTAAAACCAGTTCCTGCCAGCCAGCACTAGCTGATTCCAGCCCTCTGCTAAGTTACCAAGCCATTTATACAAATAAACAAATAGGACTTGCAAGATAAATGTTAAACCCATGTAAGAGAACAAGTTATACTCAGGTGTTCATTTACATAAAAATCATCTACGGTCTAAATTTAATGTTTGATTCATTTGTTCAGGTCTTGAGTTACTACTCTAGGTCAAAATCTTGCATGTATCTGAAATACAATTGCATCATGAAAATTATAAATCAAATGTGTTTGCTTATGTTGGCAGGCCTTTCATCCCATCTACAATGGGACTATAAGATTTATTAATTAGTAAAACAGCAATAGTTATAACAAAATAAAAACCAAAAAACACTTAAAAATATTCAGAGAGTTGCGTAGAATATTCTAGAATTTGTCTATATTTTTGAGGTTGGTGTTCTAGTTTCCTGATAGCTGGACAGCCAACTCATTATTGTATTGAATTGCATTAACCATTCAAATTCTCTCTGCAGTTACAGAATTTGTTGGGCGGAGATATCGGAGAACAGTGGGGATTTTTTACCAAGTTGCCTATACAGTTGGGCTCCTGGTGCTAGCTGGGGTGGCTTACGCACTTCCTCACTGGAGGTGGTTGCAGTTCACAGTTTCTCTGCCCAACTTCTTCTTCTTGCTCTATTACTGGTAAGTCCATTTGGAATAAAAAGGAAATAAATCAAAGTATTTTATTCTGCTAAGAAGTCTGCCTTCCTTAATGCACACTATCTTTCTGATTCTGAGATTGCTTTCACTCTCCAGACCCATTTCACAAAGAGCCCAATTCCATGTTTCAGGAATAAAAACCACAAGCTTCACCTCTCCGTCTGTAAATCAAATGTCCTTTCTCTTTGGGCTTAAAGTTTTTATGACTTGGATCTTACATTTCCACATTATTTATTTGGTGTTTAAATTAGCTTCTAGGAGCTGTGGTACAATTTGGACGGTAGACCCTTTGAAGAGACTGAAAATATCACTATTACTATTCTCTCCCCACTCAGAGGAAACTTTAGGGTGGAGAAAGCAGAGCATGGCACTTGTGTCACCATTTCCCAATACTCATGCCCAAGGCAGACATCCCCAGTGAATCACAGTATTCTTCATCACAGATAAGGCCAACATGACACTCCAGACAGACCATACCAATCAATCAGAGTTACCAAGGCAAGTAAAATATATTAGTCATCCCTGCCTAAGGGAAACACATGGGAAATACCAGAAACTCTTAGAAACCCCTAATGTGAGATTATCTGAAATAAAGCAAAGGGGATACTGGATTATCAGACCAAATCTCTCTCCCATGCTACAACCCATTTATTTAGTTTCTCCTGGATTTACCCACTTGTTCTTCCCATGGCTGTCTTGCCTAAGAATTAAACATCTCAACTCTTTCCCAGAAGCCTGTTTCTTATCCAAAAGCCAATAAAACTCTGTGTTTTACCAGCTCAGACTGCAGTGACAAAATGCCATGGACCGGGTACTTAAAAACATATTTCCCATAGTTCTGGAGGCTGGGAAGTCTAAGATCCAGGTGCTGGCAGATTTGTTCCTGATGGGAGCCCACTTCCTGACTTGCAGACATCCCACTTGTGGGCCCTCACATGGTGAAGAAAAAATAACACTCTAGTCTCTCTTCCTCTTCTTGTAAGGATATCTGGGGGCCCCACTCTCCAGACCTCAGCTAAACTTAATTACCTGCCACAGGCCCCAACTCCAAATTGCACACTGGGGGTGAGGGCATCAGTGCATGCGCTTCAGCGGGGACAGAAACATTCAGTCCATTATACCCTGAGAGTGACCCTTCCTGCTGTCTCTATTACACTTCCACAAAAACATCCATTCCAAGTTCCTTTTAAGCCCTGCCTCTCAGAGCAACTTCGCTCCCAGAGTGATGATCCCAACTGGGGCCTTCCTACATTTACACCATAACTGCCACAGCAGCAGCCCTATTATCTCCTTTCTCCAGTTTCTCCTCCCGCTGAACCTCCACCCTGAACTCATTCACCCTGAACCCAGCTGCTCAGAGTTCCCTCCAGACACAGAGTCAATAGTTCTAGTCTTGCTCAAAAACTTGCAAGGGCTCCCCGAGCCCTGCTACATCAAACTCAAACTATGAAGTCTCGCTTTTCAGTTACCTCACCCTCTGACCTCAAATTCTTATCTCATTCCTTTGGGAAATTGAGCATAACACATATACATACTTGCTCCCCACCCCCACAATGGTTTGCATACTCCAGCATCCAGTCCTTGACCCCTCTGCCAGTTCTCAGGCCTTTGCAAAGCCCAGGGCCACCCTGAGGGACCTGCCTCTCCTCCTTGCAAGAGGAGCTGGATGTTCAGCCGCACCCTGCTTTGCAGCTTGCTTCCTGTGTTTCTGCTTAGAAATCCCTGAGGAGGGATTTAGCATTTGAGGGAGGAAAGAACCACATATCCCCCTACACGAGTGTTATTTTCTTTGGAGATCCAACTGTATTAACATCCTCAGAGAAATCTGATTATAAAAAAATGGGGGATGGGGTAAGGAGGATTCAGTAAGAGTTGCCCTCCGCTCACCTTGTACCCTAGGTGCATACCTGAGTCTCCCAGGTGGCTGATCTCCCAGAATAAGAATGCTGAAGCCATGAGAATCATTAAGCACATCGCAAAGAAAAATGGAAAATCTCTACCCGCCTCCCTTCAGGTGAGCCAGGGCCTTAAGTATCAAATCAGGGGATGGAGAAAAGGGAGGCTCTGGTAAGATTCATGCATGCCAGTGATCTCAGCAGGGAACCATGGAAGCACCCACCCCCTTGCATTTTGGCTTACCTGTAGCGGAATGCAACAGAGAATTTTATATGCTAAGATTTGTGGTTCCGTGGGAGAATATTTCAAACAGGTGGAAACCATCAAACTAAAAGAGAACCAGAAATCATTTAAAGGTCACGTGAGGAGCTTCTGTCTTGTGCAACTTAAGCCTTCACCAGTCTCCTATGCCCAGGTGCCCAGCACCCCCATCATCTGCATATTCACCATCCTCAGGTCAGATTCTTAGATCAGTAAAGCAGTTCTTTAAACACACATGATTTCTTAGAATTGTAAACACTTTGGATAGAAATTGTCCAAAAAGCTTTTTTTTTTGAGATGGAGTCTTACTCTGTCACCCAGGTTGGAGTGCAGTGGCACAATCTCGGCTCACTGCAATCTCCACTTCCCAGGTTCAAGCGATTCTCCTGCTTCAGCCTCCCTAGTAGCCAGAATTACAGACGAGCACCACCACGCCAAGCTAATTTTTGTGTTTTTAGTAGAGACAGAGTTTCGCCATGTTGGCTAGGCTGATCTCGAACTCCTGACCTCAGGTGATCCACCAGCCTCGGCTTCCCAAAGTGCTGGGATTACAGGCATGAGCCACCGCACCAGGCTGAAAAGCTTTTAAGCAATCCCCTGCCTTCTTAAATAGAATCCAGTTACAGAGGTGTTCGTTACCTGTGTTTATTGTTTGCCTTTAGTAGATCTCACCACGTTGACCTCAAACATTTTCATTCCACAGCGGGTAGAAAAGAGAAGATTAAGCTTATTCGAAAATAGGCCAGGTGCAGTGGCTCACACCTGTAATGCCATCACTTTGGGAGGTAGAGGCAGGTAGATCATCTGAGGTTGGGAGCTCGAGACCAGCCTGGCCAACGTGGCAAAACCCCACCTCTACTAAAAATACAAAAATTGGTCGGGCGCAGTGGCTCATGCCTGTAATCCCAGCACTTTGGGAAGCCGAGGCGGGCAGATCACTAGGTCAGGAGTTTGAGACCAGCCTGGCCAACATGGTGAAACCCCATCTCTGTTAAAAATACAAAAATTAGCTGGGCATGGTGGCGGATGCCTGTAATCCCAGCTACTCAGGAGGCTGAGGCAGAAGAATTCCTTGAGCCCGGGAGGCAGATGTTTCAGTGAGCCAAGATCGTGCCACTGCACTCCAGCCTGGGCAATAGAGCAAGACCCTGTCTCGGGGAAAAAAAAAAAAAAAAAAAAGCTGGGCATTGTGGTGCATGCCTGTAATCCCAGCTACTCAGGAGGCTGAGGCAGAGGATTGCTTGAACCCAGGAGGTGGAGGTTGCAGTGAGCCGAGATTGCACCACTGCACTCAAGCCTGGGTGACAGAGCAAGATTCAGTCTCAAAAAAAAAAAAAAAAAAAAAATGAAATGGGACACAGTATGGAAAGTGCTTGCTCTAGTGCTGGGCATGAGATGGGCGCTCAGGACGGTAAGAAATTATTGTTATTCCCTATGTGACCCAGGGACACTAGCATTAAATATACAAAGCCGTCCTTTCTATTCCTTTTCTTAGCGCCTGAGACTTGAAGAGGAAACTGGCAAGAAATTGAACCCTTCATTTCTTGACTTGGTCAGAACTCCTCAGATAAGGAAACATACTATGATATTGATGTACAACTGGTAAGGAATATTTTTCACTTTGAAATGCCTCCAAATTGTTTTAATCACAGTCATCCATAGTAAGGAAGGGAAGAAAACATGACCTCATCCCGGTATTAGCGCTGACGGTGGGCAGCAATGTGGGTTGTGTCTGGTAGGTTTTCCTGATCGTGTTTTTCTTGGGCAAATATTAAGATCGGTGTAGCCCCTAAGCACAGATCAAGGCAATGGCAACCTCGGCTTCACATTGGAATCACCTGGGAGCTTACAAAATACCAAAGCCAAAACCCCCAGAAATACTGATTTAATTGTTCTAGGGTAGGGCTTGGAAACCAATAGTTTTTTAATTCTCCAGGTGATTCAAATGCATAGCCCAACTAGAGAACTATTGGTATAACTTAATTGATGATGCATGTAGATCTCTATTGTAGTACAGAACTGGCAAAAAACAAACAAACAAAAAACAGGGTTGTGGGGGGATTGCCTTTTCTTTCCTTTTTTTCTTTTCTACCTGGAGAAAAAATAAATTTCTGAACAAGAATAATTCCAGTGGCTTCACAGCCCAGTGACTTGATCTTTATTGTGTTTGCTACCTACAGGCTGCTCTCAGAGCTTCAAGCCATGCTTTCTCTAGTGGGGAATGCATCTTTTCAGGGCACATTGGATCTCCACCCAGGCAAATGGAGATTTACAATCACTGACAAAAGCAAAGCTCATGAGGAATTACTTTAGCAACCTTTACAATAGTGCACAGGAGAGGCAGCTTTGAAATTTGGCCTCATTATCCTTCTTTCCTTTTCTGAGTAATCGTGACTTTTGTTGATTATCCTCATATTTTCCATTACATGTAATGACTATGTTTAGTTAATAAACTAGAAACATTGTCCAAATGTTGTTCGTAACAGGCCAGGAGAGAAGTCACCAAGAAGGGAGGCCGTACTCACTTGGTCTTCTGGTTTCCTAAAATTTGAATTAAGTAGTCAGTTCTTTCGATCCCAATTGCACTAGAATACCCCAAAGAGAGAAATAACTCACAACCACTAATAACTTGATATAGTTTTACTAAATAAATCATTCCATTGGCCAGGCACAGTGGCTCACACCTGGAATCCCAGCATTTCGGGAGGCTGAGGCAGGCAGATCACATGAAGCCAGGAGTTCAAGACCAGCCTGGTTAACATGGCAAAACCCCATGTCTACTAAAAGCACAAAAATTAGCAGGTGGTACACGTCTGTAATCCCAACTACTAGGGAGGCTGAGGCAGGGGAATAACTTGAAACTGAAAGGTAGAGTTTGCAGTGAGCCAAGATTGCACCACTGCATTCCAGCCTGGGCAACAGAGTGACTCTGTCTCAAAAAATAAATAAATAAAATAAATCATTCCATTAAGACATTCTTCTTGGCTTTCAATTTGTCCAGGAAACATTATCGTAATTTCTAATTAGTTCTAACTATTCCAATTTCTTCCCTTCTCCTGGTTTTTGGAAACTACCCAGCCACAGCCAGCCACTGAAGTAGATCAGAGATTATAAAAGCAGTGGGATGGGGGACTAGCAAGGAGATGGTCACAGGGAAAGGTGACCTACAATCCACATTATTTTTCCAGAAGCCTCTCTTTTTTGGTGCCCTGTGTTTGGTGCTTGACTTGACCTGAACTCTCCTCTTTGCTCAGGTTCACGAGCTCTGTGCTCTACCAGGGCCTCATCATGCACATGGGCCTTGCAGGTGACAATATCTACCTGGATTTCTTCTACTCTGCCCTGGTTGAATTCCCAGCTGCCTTCATGATCATCCTCACCATCGACCGCATCGGACGCCGTTACCCTTGGGCTGCATCAAATATGGTTGCAGGGGCAGCCTGTCTGGCCTCAGTTTTTATACCTGGTGGTAAGTTTCAGGTGAAGTTGGAGTCTTATCTCCAAGACCCTGGAGAAAGGGAGTGTCACGGCCCATTGATAGGAAAACCATGTAATTTGTCATCCAAATCAATTTGGAAAGACAAATTGGAGGGCAGTATCTGGGACCCTTCTGAGCAAATTCATATGGCCAGCCTCCCTTTAGGAAAAATTGTACCCAATTTTTCCTTGATGTGATGTAACAAGAGAGACTTTACAGCCCCATGCTACAGGCCATCAAGATGACCTGGAGCAGAGAGCATGGGCCTTGGGTAAAGCAGGCCCAGGTCAAGGTCTTACTCCAGCCCTTCCTGGGTGTTAACTGGGGACTCTCTTGACCTCCCTGCATCAACCTGCAGAATAAATGAGAAAAATGTAAGTAAATGCCATCCATAAATAACTATTCAGTTCCCTTTTTCCCTTTTAAAATGCTTCCTCAACGAAGGGGAACAAATACCTGGATAAGAGAATCCTTTTAGCAATATGGAGCTTCGTTTGAATCCTTTTGTTATTAGCAGTTGTTTAAATGTGCCCATATTTTGCTCTTTCTTTGACTTCTATAGACTAAAGTTGGCCCAGCTTTGGAAACTGGTATAACTCCGTTGTCATTAACAACTGAGGTCTAAAGTTAAGAGAACACAGAGGATTTTTAGGGCAGTGAAATTATTCCATATGATACTAAAATAGTGGATACAGGTCATTATGCATTTGTCCAAACCCACAGGAGGTGTACCACCAAGAGTGAACCCTAATGCCAGCTATAGATTTGGGGTGATTATCGTTGCCACTGAAGGTTCATCAAGTAACAAACATACCACTCTGTGGAGAATGTCGATGATGGGCAGTGGGGGGTGGAATGCATGTGTGGGGGCAGAGGTTATGTGGGAAATCTCTGTACCTTCCTCTCCATTTTGCTGTGAACTTAAAACTGCTCTAAAAAAAATATCTTTTTTAAAAAAGAGAGAATTAGCATTGTGTCTGAGGTTAAGATGAACAAACGTGAGAATCTGCTGACATTAACATGAGCCTATAGAAGAAGTCATTTTTCTTTCTTGTCCCATTCTGGGATGGGGAATTTGTCCTTACAGTCCCACTCTGGAGCACTGTCTGAAGATGAGGAATCATCTGTGTACGGATAAGTACTGTTCTTTTCCCTCTTAGATCTACAATGGCTAAAAATTATTATCTCATGCTTGGGAAGAATGGGGATCACAATGGCCTATGAGATAGTCTGCCTGGTCAATGCTGAGCTGTACCCCACATTCATTAGGTGAGTGCATTTTCCTTAGAATGACGAGGGTGGGTGAGACATTTGTTCATTGGCTGGAACCACCACAAGTGCAGACAAAGGATATCTTACCTTCAAAACACAGTGTAAGGGAAGGTGAGAACACGTAAAGGTCCAGCCAGGCCCAGCAGTTCACCTCTCACACTTACAGGCTGGGGTAAAATACAGAGGCCATGGTGAGAACAGAAAATTGAATTGCAAGACAGGGATTACCCAATGGCTACAGGGGAGATTGTTGTGGAACAGCACAAACAGGTCCATAGAAACAGCTTAGGGAAGCCAGGTGATGGAAGTAAAAAGAAACAATTGCTCCTCCCATCATTAAAAAAAAATTTAAGGTTTATACAAAACAAGAATGACAGAATATGAATGGAATTATGTATATATATATATATATAAAATATTGTGCATTGAAAATAACGTGAATGTTTTTTTAAACTCTTGAACATTTTATTTTTGGTGTTTTTTTTTTATTTCAATAGGTTTCTGGGAAACAGGTGGTATATGGTTGTATGAATAAGTTCTTCAGTGGTGATTTCTGAGATTTTGGTGCACCCGTCACCTGAGCAGTGTACACTATAGCTCTTGAACATTTTAATTATTTGAGGAAGTGTTTATTCAGGGGTGGATGGGAGATAACTACTGCACTGTGATAAGTTAACAAGTTAAATCAGTTTCCTGCATTCTAGGAATCTTGGCGTCCACATCTGTTCCTCAATGTGTGACATTGGTGGCATCATCACGCCATTCCTGGTCTACCGGCTCACTAACATCTGGCTTGAGCTCCCGCTGATGGTTTTCGGTAAGAAATCTTCACAGATGTCTTTAAGTGAAAACTTATTTTTCTAGAGACCTTCACTTCTCTTCTACTTCATTCAAAACAGGTGTCATGCCTATTAGTAACTACTAATTACTACTCATAGTAGTAATGATGTGTCTGTGGCTTGCGTTCTTCCTGGATGTGCCTAGTAATTAGTAATATTATTAGTATTAGTAATACTAATCAATAATACTAGTTCAGTATTCATAATATTATCATCACTACTAATACTCAAGTATGGGACTCCTGCCATAGAGGCAGAATGTTGAAGAGAAGAATGAGAAGGAAGAAAGTTTCCCAGCAGCAGGCCCCTAACTCTCTCTCTGCTGATTTCCACCCTTCCTGAGGTCTCTGTCAAAGAGTTAACTCCTCCATGCCCAGAGGTGGTAAAACACAAGCCCTTTTACTTCTTACTTCAAAGAAGGGGGTTAAAATTTTGCAAAAGGCAATTTCAAAACCCAGAGGAAATAAAGACCCACATTAAGAAAATGCATCAGCATAATGGAGCACCTGTGTTGATGCACCTGGAGCAATTAGATTTCAGGAGCGTCACATAGCACTTCCCTTCTGCTACTGCCAGCAGGAACACACCAGCACTGAGCCTTCTCTGGTTAACTGGAACACCTCAATGCACCCATTTCAGGCTCCTTTGACACCCATTCTGAGCTGCTTTTAATTGAATATGTGATGCTTTTTCCCATGGGCATATAGCACTCAATTTAGGGGAAGAGAAGAAGAAGAGATTTCACTCTCAGATGTACATGAGGGTGTAAAGGGAAAGGAAATTTAAAAATCTCAGGACCCCCAGAATCCTTATGCAAAAGGGAAGACTAAGCCTGGAGGTTGAGTCATGCAACACCCTCTTCCAGATGAATAGCTGTTACAAGCATTATACATCATGCCTCAGTTATCTACAAAGGACCACCCCTGCAGGTCATTCATAAGTAAATTCTTTGCTGGCCTCCTGTAGACAAGAATTTTAGGTCTACAATCTAAGCTTAGCTTCTAAAACTAAAGTCTGCTGATTCCACACTGATAATGTTGATTGCAAGCTTATTTCCCAATGTACAGAATAAAGACAAGATCAGTCATTCCTCCACCTACTCAGAGAGGCCTGCATAATTGATTCTTTTCTTTACTCCCATTTTCTCTTTAAACATTCACCTTATCATATGTAAAATGTAAATTTAACTGGGCACTAGTTAAAGTCTCACAAGGATGGAAACATTCCTCTACGGCCTACCTGCCCCTCTCCCTACCTGCCTCCCTACTTTAAGGAAATGTATAAATACCAACCTCCTGAAAGCCTCTTTGTAAAAACAGCCACAGATGTGTCTGTGGCTCATTGCTTTTCAGGGACATGCCCTAAAGCTGACTTAATAAACCTCGACTGACTGGGACATTTTCCTCAGTCACTCATTTCCGTTATCAGGGGAAGCTCCCACCACTTCACTCCTAAGGCTGCCCAATGCCCCACACAGCTACCCTGCTCATTCCTTTTCTTCCCCTTCTTCTCACGGAATTTGTGAGGGGGAAAATTTTCCACCACTCTAGATCTGCCAGCAAAAGTTCCAAACCACTGATGGAACTTACCTGCAAAACAGATGCAATGAATTCCTCCATGATCCAGTTTAATAGCAATAAGATGGCCAAAGTTGACAGAGCACAAGCTCTTTATCCTGAGATAACTTGGCCACAGAGTAGCTGGTGCTACTCCTGAGACATATGTGACCCCTATTTCTTTCTCCCCCAACACTGGCTAAGGAAACTGTCCTCAGAACCCTCTTTTCATCATGAGGAGGTACCCATCAAACCCTCTGTCCTCCTTCCTGCCATGGAGGAAGTTAGAGACCACTCAATCTTGGCCACTCCCTTAGGTGGACAGTGGGTGACTAATGGGTCAGCAGGACATTTCTGGATAGCAGATGGTTACTTCGTTACTGGAAAGAGGTCCTGACCCAGACCCCAAGAGGGGGTTCTTGGATCTTGCACAAGAAAGAATTCGAGGTCAATCCATAGAGTAAAAGGAAAGCAAGTTTATTAAGAAAGTAAAGGAATAAAGAATGGCTACTCCATAGGCAGAACAGCAGCATGGGCTGCTCAGTTGAGTAACCTATAGTTACTTCTGGATTATATGCTAAACAAGGAGTGGATTATTCGTGAGTTTTCCAGGAAAGGGATGGGCAGTTCCTGGAACTGAGGGTTCCTCCCCTTTTCAGACTATATAGGGTGACTTCCGGACATCACCATGGCATCTGGCATCTGTAAACTGTCATGGTGCTGGTGGGAGTGTCTTTTAACATGCTAATGCATTATAATTAGTGTATAATGAGTAGTGAGGATGACCAGAGGTCACTTCCATCGCCATCTTGGTTTTGGTGGGTTTGGGCCAGCTTCTTTACCACTTCCTGTTTTATCACCAAGGTCTTTGTGACCCTGTGTCTTTTGCTGACCTCCTATCATCCTGTGACTAAGAATGCCTAACCTCCTGGGAATGCAGCCCAGTAGGTCTCAGCCCCATTTTACCCAGCCCCTGTCCAAGACAGAGTCACTCTGGTTCAAACAACTTTGACAACTTCATGTTTCTCTAAGTACTATTTAACAAATAGTACTTTATTGACCCTTGTTCCTGCCTGACACCTTCCTGCAGGAAAGATAAAGGATTATAACTACATTTCAATATTTAAAGTAAACTCAAAGACAATTCTAATTTTATTCTTGAAAGTAATTTCATATTCTTCCCTCACTAACCTTTAGTATGAGTGGCTAGTGGAAAGAAAACCTAATAGTTTTTCATTTTAACTTCTTTCTCTTTCTTTTCCACACAATAATGGTGTGCTAATTGTGGTCTTGAAATAGCCATAAAACGATAATCAAAGAAGACTGAAAGTCAACACACTGGAAAATCCTGGCTGAAAGAGCACTGGAAAAATCAACAAGGATTATTCTGGTTAACTAGGCCTGTCTTTGCAAATATAAAATGCCAAACGAATGGTAATTTTATTAATCAGTTGTATTCATCATGATTCACTCACTTCAGAGATTCAGATGCCAGCTGAATGTGTTTCTTGTTTGCATTACTTACAATACAATAACCAAGTGAATCTTGGGAGGCTTGGAGACATTTTGAGAGGTTAATTATTTAATAGGCACTTCCACTGTATATACCATGTGCCAGGCACTATTCTAAGCCTTTGACAATATTAATTCATTTCAGCCTCATAACAAGCCTGTCTCTGTTACCAGAAAGGGGTCCCAATCCAGACCCCAAGAGAGGGTTCTTGGATCTCACACAAGAAGGAATTCAGGGCGAGTTCACAGAGTGATGTGAAAGCAAGTTTATTAAGAAAGTAAACAAATAAAGAATGGCTGCTCCATAGGCAGGGCAGCCCTGAGGGCTGCTTGTTGCCCATTTTTATGGTTATTTCTTAATTATATGCTAAACAAAGTGTAGATTATTTATGAGTTCCCCGTTTTTAGACCATATAAGGTAACTTCCTGATGTTGCCATGGCATTTGTAAACTGTCATGGCACTGGTGGGAGTGTAGCAGTGAGGACAACCAGAGGTCACTCTCATTGCCATCTTGGTTTTGGTGGGTTGTAGCCAGCTTCTTTATTGCAGCCTGTTTGATCAGCAAGGTCTTTATGACCTGTATCTTGTGCCAACTTCCTATCTCATCCTGTGACTTAGAATGCCTAACTGTCTGGGAATGCAGCCCTGTAAGTCTCAGCCTTATTTTACCCAGCCCCTCTTCAAGATAAAGTTTCTCTGGTTCAAACACCTCTGAGATTTCCCCATTCCCTTTTGTAAGAGAACTCTTAATCTTAATGGTTGCAGAGAGACAAAGATCCATCTTCTGTAACTTTTTCATTCTGATTAAGGGTGATGATATTTCTGATTAAGTATTAGGGTCTCTTGTATTCAGGGTAGAGAGGAGCTCAGTCAGAAAGCATCAGTATGGTGAGGGCCATTCATAACTCTGAGTTCTGACAAAAAGTGATATCTGAAAGATTAATAAGAGTTTAATTTAAGAAAACATTTGGTAAGCTTATCCTGCACAACCCTTTGTGTATTCCTACACAAAGAGTAAAACGGCAATATGTTCCACAACAGTAAAGAAAAATAAGCAAAATTATCCCAAGCAAACTAAATTAGAAGGCTTTCCATGAACCTGGCAATTGTTGAAACCATGCTGATATGGGGTCACTACCTGATTCCAATGAGCCCAGAATTAGAATATTGATCCAGATTTTTATATTACCCATCCCTCTTGTTTCTTCTGAACTGCAGGAATCACTCGTTGGAATGAGCAGGGTCAGTCTAAAGTGCAGGAAGAAAAGCTTAAAACAACTGATGAGACTAGAATATAATAACAGGTATACCATTGTTCTTGAAACATAATTTTTCTCTCTCCAGTTTCCCATTTTTGCTAAAGACAAATCTTGGTAGGACTGATTTGCTTTATTGTACTTGGCCTGATTATTTGTATAAAGTGCAGCAAAAATAATTATTTTTCACATAGGCTTTTTAAATTGGCTTTGACAAAACTTTGTTCCATAAAAGGAATCTCAGATAAGACTTTTTTTTTCAAAGCCAAGCCCAGCCATGGGTTTGTACCCTCTAATACCAATAAGTTGAGTAAATGCCTCTCCTCTTGAGGTCCCTAGGTAACTCAGGCTCCTGGGTCTGTCAGAAAGTGACATTTTTTACTTACCACAGGTCAGGAACCCTGTACAGGGACTATGTAGACAAGGTATGATGTCAGTTTTCCCAGGGGACTTTTATTGGCTCTACCAGTTAAGTTTGATTTCTTAAAGGAAAGCACAACATTCCAGTCAAAGCCTTGGTAAAAATAACCAGTTTCTCCAACTGTGTCCTGTTGCAAAAGAAAACAGATTCTTATTGCACTTATGCAAATAACTATATTGCCATAAGTTAAGAGTACTCACAAATAATTTTCAAATTCTGGAGAAATCAGGTAGAGAGAAACAAATGTGCTCCAAAGTTTTTCACAGGAATATACTTGACTTAATTGCTACAAGCTGTAAATACTAATAGCTCAAAAGAAAAGTTTCCTTGACTCTGAAAAACAAAACAAAGGATCAGCAACGTTTTAAGCAAAAAATTAAAAAAGAATACTTCGGTCTTTTATTCAGTCCATGCAGTTAACTCCTGCTTTGTTTGATATACATGAACATTTCACCTCTCCCTGAGAGTCCTGAAAGTATTTTCCTCTATTCTAATGTCACAATCTCCAAAGTTATCAGAAACCTGCATTCAAGAATACCTGTTAAAGTCCTATAGTTGATTATAAAACCACCTTTTGAAGAGGATCAACACAAAACAACAATTGTCTGTGGATGGTAAAGTCTTAGGGCAGCCACAGTCAAAAACACAATTGACAAATAAATATGTTACTTCTGTAGCACACATTAATTTAACATAGCAATTATAATTATTACTGATAATGTACACTAAGTCCTATCAGAATTATAGGAGTTTCATATAATTTTGGAACACATACCATTAATGTATTTATACAAATAGAGCCCAAAGACAGCCAAACACCATTTTATGTTCAACAATGCTTCCTGTATGACTTTTATACTACATAAGTCAAATTTCACTTTTACATTAGTGTACTATTAATGTTAAACCTTCATAGACATATCTACCCAATTTTAATGTTTGACCATAAGGTAGGATTCTCATAAACCTTTTATAACTCTTTACAAACTTTTTATTAAAGAGCAGATCAGTGCTGTAAGAAAAACCTATTGTGCTTTTATCCTAATGTTCAATTTATGGAAAAACTGAATGATACCCCTTTAACTTTAGCCAATATATTCACACACAGAATTTCTTTTACATGATTAATTTTTCACAAATCCTCCACAACTTGTTGAAACCTTCAGCTTTATCTTATTTAACTTTAAACAATCCTTTAACCCTGAATTTCAGATTCCCTGAAATTAAGGGTCTCATTTTTATACCATATCCTCTAACCCAAAAAGAGGAAATCAGCCCATTTCCTATAGGAATCTTATCTGTCAGTGGGGAATGGGGACATTTTCATAACTTCTAGGTGGCCAAGAGCATGCTTTTCTGATGTAAACTTGCAAAGAGCTGAGGATCTCCCCATAACTGCCATTAGCTATCCCTGAAACTATATTTCCTACCTAGTCACACATCAAAGCTCTCTCATAATGTATAGTAATTTCTGATACCCTCCAAGTCAAAAACATCAGATAATGCAATGAAAAATAGAACAGACCCTTAGATTTTGAGATGGATCTATCCACTTTAATTCCTTGGGCTTTATGAGGAAAACAGAGGTTTTACCAAAAGGAGGTCTGTGATGTCTCCTCTGTTTTTCCCAAGGAGTTCCAGGCTGTTAGAGCTTGAACAAACTGACTTTTAACCATAGCACTCAAATCCTTTTAAATATCTTATTACCTGACTTTAGCCATGCCAAACAGCCGATATTTTTTGCTCAGAGAAAGGAAAGTTCAAGATGGTTTGTGGAGAGGAAGAGAATTAACCAGTGGTAAAGGTTATACAGATTTTAAACCAGAAAGGATTCATTCCCTAAGCCAGGATTGAACCCTGGGCCACCATTGTAAAATGGTGAAGCCTTAGCTATTGAGCTACAGCATTGGCTGGTTTCCGTTGTTCTTCCCAGAAGGATTTTAGAGCAGCCAATTCTGAGCTTGCAAAGTCTTTTAACTGTTCAAGATAATTTTTAGGGATAAATATGACATGAACCCCCAAATTCCTATCTGTTGGATGGTGGAAACCAAGAGAAAGAACTGCCATGTGGTTACAAGTTCAAGCTCCCAAGGACATTTTTCAACATGTGGTCTCTGGGCACAATGAAAGAGCAGACAGTTACCCTGAGTAACAGAAAAAATAGAAAAGAGAAAGGAGAGAAAGGGAGAAAAGCATTGTCTGGTGGGGCGGCAGGGGCAGCTCCTCCTGTGGCAGGGTGGGGAAGGAGAGGTGCTCAGGGAGGCCAGAGAAAGACCCACCCATTACAGTAACACTGTTCAGGTGACCACTTGTCGGTAGCGAAGGGATCTTTTCCAGCAGTCCTATCCGCTCTCAAGCGTCCCTCTTAGGAAGAAATAACTTTCACTCGTGTCCGTGTGAAGAGCCCACCAAACAGGCTTTGTGTGAGTAACAAGGCTGTTTATTTCACCTGGGTGCAGGCAGGCTGAGTCCGAAAAGAGAGTCAGTGAAAGGAGATAGGGTGGGGCCGTTTTATAGGATGTGGGTAGGTAAAGGAAAATTACAGTCAAAGTGGGTAGTTCTCGGCAGGCAGGGGCGGGGGTCACAATGTGCTCAGTGGGGGAGCTTTTCAGCCAGGATGAGCCAGGAGAAGGAATTTCACAAGGTAATATCATCAGTTAAGGCAGGAACAGGCCATTTTCAATTCTTTTGTGATTCTTCAGTTACTTCAGGCCATCTGGATGTATACGTGCAGGTCACAGGGGATATGATGGCTTAGCTTGGGCTCAGAGGCCTGACATTCCTGTCTCCTTATATTAATAAGAAAAATAACAAAAAACAAAATATTGGTAAAGTTTTGGGGTGGTGAAAATTTTGGGGGGTGGTATGGAGAGATGATGAGTGATGTTTCTCAGGGCTGGTTCGAGTGGAATTAGGGGCAGCGTGGGAACCTAGAGTGGGAGAGATTAAGCTGAAGGAAGATTTTGCGGTAAGGTTGTTAGAAGGCGCATTTGTCATATAGAATGATTGGTGATGGCCTGGATGCATTTTTGTATGAATTGAGAAACTAAACAGAAGACACAAGGTCCAAATAAAAGAAGGAGAAAAATAGGTATTAAAGGACTAAGAATTGGGAGGACCCAGGACATCCAATTAGAGAGTGTCCAAGGGGGTTCAGTGTAATTACTTGTTTGGTTGGTGAGTTTTTGGGCTCTATTCTTGACAGAGTCCTTTTTTTAAAGTTGGTGGCTGAGCTTCGTGAGGTGTGTTTTTAAAAGACCATTAGTCCATTTTACCTTTCCTGAAGATTGAGGATGATAAGGGGTATGAAGGTTCCACTGAATACCAAGAGCCTGAGAAACTGCTTGGGTGATTTGACTAATAAAGGCTGGTCCGTTATCAGACTGTATAGAGGTGGGAAGGCCAAAACGAGGAATTATGTCTGACAGAAGGGAAGAAATGACCATGGTGGCCTTCTCAGACCCTGTGGAAAAGGCCTCTACCCATCCAGTGAAAGTGTCTACCCAGACCAAGAGGTATTTTAGTTTCCTGACTCGGGGCATGTGAGTAAAGTCAATTTGCCAGTCCTGGGCAGGGCAAATCCCCGAGCTTGATGTGTAGAGAAGGGAGGGGGCCTGAGAAATTCCTGGGGAGTAGTGGAATAGCAGATGGAACACTGAGAAGTGATTTCCTTGAGGATAGATTTCCACGATGGAAAGGAAATGAGAGGTTCTAAGAGATGGGCTAGTGGCTTGTAACCTACATGGAAGAGACTACGAAATGATGACAGAATAGAATGGGCCTGTGAGGCTGGAAGGAGATCCTTGGTCAAAGAACCATTTGCCTTACGTGGGAAAAGATTAATATGTGGAAGTTTCAGTGGGGAGTAGGTGGGAGTGGTCAGATGAGAAGGAGAAAAACTGCCGTGAGGGATAGAAGTTGGAATGCTAGCTGCTTTTTTAGCTACCTTATCAGCATAAGCATTGTCCTGAGTGATGGGATCTGATGCCTTTTGATGGCTGCTTTTTTAGCTACCTTATGAGCATAAGCATTGTCCTGAGCGATGGGATCTGGTGCCTTTTGATGGCCTTTGCAGTGAATGACTCCAGCTTCCTTTGGAAGTAAAGCAGCTTTGAGAAATGTTTTTTTTTTAAAGAGGCATTAATGATGGAGGACCCTTGCATAGTGAGAAATTTCTTTCTGCCCATATGGTGGTGCAGGATATGGAAGGCATATTTAGAGTCAGTATTAATATTGATTTGTAGTCCCTTTGCAAGAGTGAGGGCCCAAGTTCAGGCAATGAGTTCAGCTTGCTGAGAGATAGTGGGGGGCAGAGCGGTAGCCTCAATGATAGATGTGGAAGATACTATAGCATAGCCTGCCTTTGCTGGTGTGTGGCGATTAAGCCTGGTGGAACTGCCATTGATAAACCAAGTGTGATCAGGGTGAGGAACAGGAAAGAAGGAAATATGGGGAAATGGGGTGAATGTCAGGTGGATCAGAGAGATACAGTCATGGGGGTCAGGTGTGGTATCAGGAATAATGTGGGAGGCCAGATTGAAGTCCAGGCCAGGAACAATGGTAATTGTGGGAGACTCAACTAAGAGTGAGTATAGCTGAAGGAGCCAGGTGAGAGGAAGAAAATAGATTTTGGAAATTATGAGAACTGTAGAGAGTGAGCTGAGCATAGTTTGGGATTTTGAGGGCCTCTAAAAGCATTAACACAGTGGTAGCCACCACACACAGACATGAGGGCTAGGCTAAAACAGTAAGGTCAAGTTGTTTGGATAAAAGGGCTACAGGGCGCAGTCCTGGTCCTTGTATAAGAATTCCGACCACACAGCCCTGCACTTCAGCTGTATGTAATGAAAAGGGAGTGAAGAGTTACGGAGAGCCAGCATAGGAGCAGCTTTTAGGGCTGTTTTTTAAGGAATGGAAAGGGGAGTGGGGAAAGGATTTAGGATTTATGGGGTCAGCTAGGTTTATCTAGAACAGAATAATGGGTTGTGGAGGGAGGTATTAAGGATAGGAGAGTATATGGGTTTGGCACCTCGGGGTGGATAGGCAAAACAATTTGGTTGATAAGGCGCAGATCCTGAACTAACCTGTAAGGCTTGTCTGGTTTTAGGACAGGTAAGATGGGGGTATTGTAAGCAGAATTTATAGGTTTTAGAAGCCCATGCTGTAGCAGGTGAGTGATAACAGGCTTTAATCCTTTTAAAGCATGCTGCAGGATGAGATATTGGCGCTGAGTAGGGTAAGGGTGATTAGATTTTAATGGGATAGTAATGGGCATGTGATCGGTTGCCAGGGAGGGAGTAGAGGTATTCCATATTTGTGGGTTAAGGTTGGGGGATACAAGAGGAAGACGCAAAGGAGGCTTTGGGTTGGGAAGAAGGACGGCAATGAGATGTGGCTGTAGTCCAGGAATAGTCAGGGAAGCAGATAATTTGGTTAAAATATCTTGGCCTAATAAGGGAACTGGGCAGGTGGGGATAACTGAAAAAAGAGTGCATAAAAGAATGTTGTCCAAGTTGGCACCAGAGTGGGGGAATTTTAAGGGGTTTTGAAGCTGGGCCATCAATACCCACAACAGTTATGGAGGCAAGGGAAATAGGCCCTTGGAAAGAAGGTAATGTGGAGTGGGTAGCCTCCGTATTGATTAAGAAGGGGACGGACTTACCCTCCACCATAAGAGTTACCCAAAGCTCAGTGTCCATCATGGTCCAGGGGGCTTCCGAGGTGATTGGTCAGCATCAGTCTTCAGCTGCTAAGCTGAGCAGATCTGGGGAGGAGTCAGTCAGAGAGCCTTGGGCTAGAGCTTTAGGGGCCCTAGGACTGGCTGCGGGGCAAGTTGGACAGTCCAATTTCCAGTGGGGTCCTGCACAGATGGGACATGGCTAGGAGGAAGCCCAGGCTGCAGGCATTCCTTGGCCCAGAGGCCAGATTGCTGGCACTTGTAGCAAGCTCCTGGGGGAGGAGGTTCTGGAGGAACCCCTGGCAGCTGCGGTTCAGGCATTTGGAGTTCTTGTGTGCTGGAGATGTGTCTGGGGTTTGTCTCACAGTGGAGGCAAGGAATTGCAATTCAGAAATACATTGCTACTTGGCTGCCTCTACTCTATTATTGTACACCTTGAAGGCAAGGTTAATTAAGTCCTGTTGTGGGGTTTGAGGGCTGGAATTTAATTTTTGGAGCTTTATTCTAATGTCAGGAGCTGACTGGGTAATAAAATGCATATTTAGAATGAGATGGCCTTCTGACCCTTCAGGGTCTAGGGCTGTAAACAGTCTCAGGGTTGCTGCCAAAAGGGCCATGGACCGGGCTGGGTTTTTATATTTGATGAAAAAGAGCCTAAATGCTAACTGATTTGGGAGAGGTCAGATAAAGAAAAAGGAACATTAACCTTGACTACGCCTTTAGCTCCAGCCACCTTTTTAAGAGGAAATTGCTGGGCAGGTGGGGGAGGGCTAGTTGTGGAACGAAACTGTAAACCAGACCGGGTGTGAGGAGGGGAGGTGAAAAAAGAATTATAGGGTCAGGGAATAGAGGCTGAGGAAGAATTGGGACCTAGCTCGGCCTGGCAAGGAGCAGCCTGGTGAGGAGGGGACAGGTCAGATGAGTCTGTAGAAAAGGAAGATTGGAAAGACCCAGTGATGATTAGGGTTGGGACTGAGAGAACAGGCAGGAGGGAAAGAAGCAAGATTTGGGATGAGTTGCATTGGGAACAGAGACTAGGGAGGGACCAATGTGTAAAAGAATGCCTGGATATCAGGGACCTCAGACCGTTTGCCCATTTTACGACAAGAATTATCTAGATTTTGTAGGATGGAAAAATCAAAAGTGCCATTTTCTGGCTATTTGGAACCACTGTCGAGTTTGTATTGGGGTCAAGCAGTGTTGCAGAAGAAAATAAGATGCTTAGATTTTAGGTCAGCTGAGAGTTGAAGAGGTTTTAAGTTTTTGAGAATGCAGGCTAAGGGAGAAGAAGGAGGAATGGAAGGTGGAAGGTTGTCCATAATGAAGGAGGCAAGCCCAGAGAAAAGAGAGAGTAGAGACACAGAGAGAAGGAGTGGGGGGTGCTTGCCCCCCAGAAAAGTGTAAAAGGGGTGGGAGGTGCTTGCCCCCCAGGAAAGTGGAGAAGGGGTGGGTACATGGAGAGAAGGGGTTGGGTGAGCAGCCCTGGGCTGCAATGTGGGTGAGCAGCCAAAGCAGGCGCCCCCGCAATTCACTTGCCACCAAGGAATGTGGGTGAATGACCAAGGCAAGCATCCCCGTGGTGATCAGACACCAATGAAATGTGGGTAAATAATCAGGCAGGCATCCCCACATGATTAAACCCAAGTCCGTGACTGGTGCTGGAGCTTCAGGTCCACAGATAAAATGCATCATCTCTGTCTCTACGAGAAAAGGAAAGGAACTGAAATTAAGAGAAGGGAGAGATTGAAGTGTGGTGCCAAGATTGAAAGAAGAAAGAGGTTGAGGGATAGTGAGAGAGGTTGGAGAAGAGAGTGAAGAGAGGCCACTTACCAGATTTAAAATTGGTGAGATGTTCCTTGGGCTGGTTAGTCTGAGGACCAGAGGTCATAGGTGGATCTTTCTCACAGAGCAAAGAGCAGGAGGACAGGGGATTGATCTCCCAAGAGAGGTCCCCTGATCCGAGTCACGGAACCAAATTTCACTGGTGTCCATGTGAAGAGACCACCAAACAGGCTTTGTGTGAGCAACGAGGCTGTTTATTTCACCTGGGTGCAGGAGGTCTGAGTCCAAAAAGACAGTCATCGAAGGGAGATAGGGGTGGGGCCGTTTTATAGGATTTGGGTAGGTAATGGAAAATTACAGTCAAAGGGGGTTGTTCTCTGGTGGGCAGGGGTGGGGGACACAAGGTGCTCAGTGGGGGAGCTTTTGAGCCAGGACGAGCCAGGAGAAGGAATTTCACAAGGTAATGTCATCAGTTAAGTCAGGAACAGGCCATTTTCACTTCTTTTGTGATTCTTCAGTTACTTCAGGCCATCTGGATATATACGTGCAGGCCACAGGGGATATGATGGCTTAGCTTGGGCTCAGAGGCCTGACAATTACTATCCATGTTTCTATGATCCTGTATATGCCTAATCCTGTCACCCATAGACATCAGCAGAGTGCAAGGGAAATTAATTCAAAGAAAATAGCAGTTAACATCCCATAGTGCCAAACTAGTTCTTAGCTGAGGGGGACTTTACTGAGAGGGACCTCTAATCCCCTCAGTCTTAGGAAAGACTCTAGCCTTTCTAAGTTAGTCCTCAAACCCAAGTTCAGTCAAGTGTCTTTGCCTTTTATTAAGAGGGACTTTTAACCCTCTCTGTCTTAGAAGAGACTCTAACTCCCCTAAATTGGGCCTCTAACCCAATCACGTCCTTTACCTGGGTACGCCAGCACTTACCCAAAGTTAATTAATCAGTGCTGCAGTCTGTTTCCTTTGCGCTGGCGGAGGGGAGGTCTCCTCAGTATCCTCCCTTCAGGGTTCACCAGAAAGATGTTATTGGAAAGGTGTCCGATCCAGACCCCAAGAGAGGGTTCTTGGATCTCACACATGAAAGAATTCAGGGCAAATCCATAGAATAATGTGAAAGCAACTTTATTAAGGAAGTCAAGGAATAAAGAATGGCTACTCCACAGGCAGAGCAGCCCTGAGGGCTGCTAGTTGCCCATTTTTATAGTTATTTCTTGATTATATGCTAAACAAAAGGTGGGTTATTAATGAGTTTCCTGTTTTTTGACCATATAGGGTAACTTCCTGATGTTGCCATGGCATTTGTAAACTGTCACAGTACTGGTGGGAGTGTAGCAATGAAGACGACCAGAGGTCCCTCTCATTGCCATCTTGGTTTTGGTGGGTTATAGCTGGCTTTACTGCAGCCTGTTTGACCAGCAAGGTCTTTATGAGCTGTATCTTGTGCTGACCTCCTATCTCATCCTGTGACTTAGAGTGCTAACTGTCTGGGAATGCAATCCTGTAAGTCTCAGCCTTATTTTACCCAGTCCCTATTCAAGAGAAAGTTGTTGTGTTTCAAATGCCTCTGACATGTCGAGGAAAAAAGCTAAATTCTGTAAAATATTTAAAGAGTTTATTCTGAGCCAAATATGAGTGACCACATTCTGACCAAATATGAGTGACTTGCCTGAGGCACAGTCTCAAGAGGTCCTGAGAACATGTGTCCAAGGTAGTTGGATTACAGCTTGGTTTTATACGTATTAAGCAGACAAAAGCCATCCATCAATACATGCGAGGTATCCATTAGTTTGGTCCAGAAAAGCAAGACAACACAAAGCAGGGGCTTCCAGGTCATAGGTGGATTCAAAGATTTTCTGATTGGCAATTGCTTGAAAGAGTTAAGTTATTATCTGAAGGTCCGGAATCAATAGAAAAGAGTGCCTGAGTTAAGATAAGTGGTTATGGAAACCAAGGCTCTTATTATGTAGATGAAGTCTCATAGGTGGTACCCTTTGAGAAAATCAATGGCAAATGTTTCCTATACAGATCTTTAAAAGGTGCTAGACTCTCAGTTAATCTCTTCAGGATTGGGAGGGTCTGGAAAGGGAAAGATCTAGTTATGTTAATAGAGATTCTTTACAGATGCAAATTCTCTCCACAAAAGATGGCTTTGCCAGGCCATTTCAAAATAGGGCAAAGAAATATATTTTGGGGTAAAATATTTTAATTTTTTTTGTCTGTCATGTGATATTATTCTATGGTCAGGCTGGAATTTGCTATCTTATTGCTACAAAGAGTCTGTTGTGTCAGTCTTAAGATATGTTTTAATGTTAACACTGGTGAGTTGTGCTTGAACTCCAAAAGGGAGAGGGTATAATGAGATATGTCTGACCCCCACCCCTTTCCATCAGGGCTTGAATGGGAAGGGGTGGGGGTGAAAAACCTTGAAGTTTTTCAGTTCAATTCAATCAGTTGGGGATCTCCGAATTTTATTTTTAGTTTACATTTGTGAGGTGGTATTGTTAAAGAAAAACTTCTGCTGAATTAAATTTTTTTAAGAGTTTAATTAAGCAAAGAATGATTCGAGAATCAGGCAGCCTCCTGAGCCAGAGTAGGCTCCGAGATTCCAACACAACCACAGGGTGAAAGAAGATTTATGGACAGAAAAAGAAAATCACGTACACAAATCGGAAGTGAGGTACACAAATAATGGGATTGGTTACAGCTTAGCGTTTGCCTTATTTGAACATGGTTTGAACAGTTGGCCGCATTTGACTGGCTAAAACTTGGTGATTTTGTAACCACCCAAGGGGTTCACCTTGCCTGCTGCCTAGACAGTCAATTTCTCCAGACAGGGGAATTGCAATAGAGAATGAGTAATTCACACAGAGCCGGCTGTGTGGGAGACTGGAGTTTTATTATTACTCAAATCAGTCTCCTGAGCATTTGGGGAGCAAAGTTTTTAAGCATAACTTTGTGGGTGGGGGAAGCCAGTGAGCCGGCAGTGCTGATTGGTCAGGGGTGAAATCATAGGGAGTCAAAGCTGTCTTGCGCTGAGTCAGTCCTTGCTGGGGGCCACAAGACCAGATAAGCCAGTTTATCAATTTGGGTGGTGTCAGCTGATCCACTGAGTGCAGGGTCTGCAAAATGCCTCAAGCACTGATTTTAGCAGCAGTTTAGAAAGGGTCAGAATCTTGTAGACTCCAACTGCATGACTCCTAAACCATAATTTCTTATGTTGTGGCTAATGTTAGTCCTACAAAGGCAACCTAGTCCCCAGGCAACAAAGAGGTCTCCTTTCGCTGTGGTCATCTTTGTTTTAATCTATAAACTAAGTTTCTCCCAAAGTTAGTTCAGCCTATACCCAAGAATGACAAGGACAGCTTGGAGGTTAGAAGCAAGATGAAGTCGATTAAGTTAGATCTCTTTCACTGTCTCAGTCATAATTTTGCAAAGGTGGTTTTAATTGGCACAAGAGTAGGCTATAGTGTGTTTACCATTCCATCTAGATTATAGTTCACAATGTATAGAGAAACCTTTAGGCCAAACTTAAAATATGTAAGGAGGCAGCTGTAGGCTAAACTTGACTTGACAGTATGTTATCCCAATTTATATAGGAATGTCTGGAGCATCAGAAAGATTACAGAACTTCCCAAGGCCTTGAGACCAGTATGTAAGGGGCCAGAGTTGGAGCCCAGGCCCTCAGAGCTTGGGATCTGTGCCCTGCAGCTTCTAATTCAGCCATTTTCTGAGGGTGTAAAAATAGAGACTGGCATGCAGTGTTTTGAGACCTCAAAACTAGTAAAGAACCCACATCCTATTTTCTGTATTCTATTATTGTGAAACACATATAAATACAACTTTAAAAGATCAAAACTTTTATCAGAATCTAAAGAAACAAAAACATGTAAGTGTTTATTATTAAAGATTATAGCTAGAGACAAAGAAAAAAAGGAATAACGGGAATTTAATGAACACCTGAATTTTAACTAAAATCCTGGCTATACTTTTTAGTGCTCTTACATAGTAATAGATACATAATTCATTACTTTTATTTGCTAGAAATGATCCAAGTTTCTGACTTATTTTCCTTACTAAGTGATTTAAACTGGAAGGGTTACAGTCCTCCTTTTCATACAGTTAATTTTTTGCAGAGTTATTTTCTAACTCCAAAGTATCTTAATATGGTGGCAATGTCCTCTACCCTAGAATAACCTTGACTCAAAATGTTAAGTATTTCATTTCCCTATTAGGAATAGTAATTCAATGGAGTTTGGAACTGGTATAATATTTATAATGGAAAATACAGCAGTCAGAGATGGCAAAGGAATCTGTAAATAAGTATAGAAAAATGCTAAAAAAAAGTTTTAAACAAAAATAAGGGAAACTCTAATTATAGACCTTGAGTTTTTCAGTTCTTAATGTGATATTCATCTGTTTGGCTTTCAGGCGTGCTTGGCTTGGTTGCTGGAGGTCTGGTGCTGTTGCTTCCAGAAACTAAAGGGAAAGCTTTGCCTGAGACCATCGAGGAAGCCGAAAATATGCAAAGGTAGGCAGTTGAAAGTTCTAAATGAATTGTTCTATAAAGGTTTTAAGACAACCCTATAGCCATTTGGAAAGAATTAAATTGACTTTATACTTCACACCATACACTGAGATAAATTCAAACTAAATCAAAGACTTGAAAGCATCAAAAAAATTAGTAAAATTACAAAGACATTATACGAGAATTTCTTTAAACTTTCACGTGGAGAAGGTCTTTCTAAATATGACCCAAAAAATCCAGAATCCATAGAAGAAAGGTCAATATGTTTGCTTTCATAAAAATAAAATATTCTGCGTTAAACAACTACTATAAGCTAAAAATAAAATTATAAACTTGAAGAAAATATTTACTACTCTACATTGGGCTAATTTTCCTAACAATTCCATAAAAGCGACCACCTAATAGAAAAAAAAAAATAACAGATTTGAGCAAATAATTCAATGAAAAGGAAATAAAAACAGCTCTTAAATATATGAAAATATGCTCAACTTCCTTCATAGTAAGAGAAGTTCAAATTAACACTGCACTAATAACTACTTGGATTGTCAAAACTAAAATTACTTGGTAACACACTATGTTGGGGAAGAATGGGGAGAAATGTAGTCTCCCGTGTTGCTGGTAGGAATTAGATGCCTCTATAATGGACAATGCAATAGTAGTATAAAAATTACAAACATGGGCTGGGTGCAGTGGCTCATGCTTCTAATCCCAGCACTTTGGGATGCTGAGGCGGGTGGATCACAAGGTCAGGAGATCGAGATCAGCCTGGGTAACATGGTGAAACCCCGTCTCTACTAAAAAAGTACAAAAAAATTATCTGGGTGTGGTGGTATGCGCCTGTAATCCCAGCCACTGGGGAGGCTGAGGCAGGAGAATTGCTTGAAACTGGGAGGCAGAGGTTGCAGTGAGCTGAGATCGTGCCACTGCACTCCAGCCTGGGCGACAAAGCAATACTCTTGTCTCAAAAAAATAAAAATAAATTAAATAAAAATTATAAACATGTATATCCTTTAACCTAGTAACTCTACACCTCTAGAAGTTTACGTGTACAAAGTGATATATGTACAGGACTAGTCATTAAGGCAATTTTTTATAACAAGTGTTGGAAACAACCTAAATGACCATGAATTAGAACACCAGTTAAATAAATGATATGCCATTCTGTAAAATTATACAGCCATTAAAAAGAATGAGGCCATTTCACATACGCTGACAAGGAAAGTTCTCCAAGATATATTGCTAATGGGGGAAAAAGCAAAACATAGAAATGTATATATTCTATCATTTGTGTAAAAATAGTGAAAGACATATATATAAATACTTGTAGCTCTGGAAAAATATACAAGAACCGTAACACTGGTTGTCTATGGAATTGAGTGACTGTGAGATACAGGTAGAAGGGAGACTTCAATGCTTACCTTTTTGTAATTTTGAATTTTGGACCATATGAACCCATTCAAACAGTACATTAAAAAATTCTAGATAAAGACAAACCTATCTGACACTCTCCCCACAAGTTTGTTTATACAGTATGTTTAGATATTTTTATTTATTTTCTTCTTACTCCACTTTTGGCCTGCTGATACCACAAACAACTGATTTTTATTCATTTTACCAAACCTTCATGTTTAACATTTTCAGTACTTGGGCAAAATGCTGGTAAATCACAGTGGTCTGAGGCTTTTCCTAGAACTTGAGTCTTAGAGTTGGAAGAGGCCTTTGAATCCGAGCGGAGGTCACACACTCGCAGCCTGCAGGCCACCAAGTTCTCCAGTGCTTTCTTTGGCCTACAAAGTATTTTTTTAAAGTGGGAAATTCCACATAAACTGGATTTCCAGGATCTGTTTTTAAAAAGCAGAAGATTTGGTAACACTGAGAAGATATTTCCTCTTGTTGGCAATTTGTAGGAGCTGAATGATCGCTTGGCTTTCTCAAGGGCATGCCCTCTGCAGGAGGCCACAGTCCCCACTGTTTCCTATTGTCTTTGGTACATTGTATGATCTGCTTGGTGCATGCAGACATTTGAGTTGGAGACCTTTCATCTAAACCAACCACCTCCCACCCCGTACCCCTCTCCCCATGCAGCTTCCCACACACATGGGCACCTCCCGTCAAAGACAGTCTAAATCCTGTTTACTGCTGTATCACTGGAACTCAGCACAGTGCGTGGCATACACAGAGCAGGAGCTTACCAATTATTTGTGGAATAAATGCTGAAGTTCCTTCTACAGCATGCCTAATTGAAGTTTCTTTCTCTAGCCAGCGCCAGTGCCAGGCAGGCAGTAATATGTGTGGTGAAGAGCAAGTCCTGTAGAGCCTGAGCCCTGCCGTCACATTTCCCATGTGTGTGGCTTTATTGCCTTAATGCCTCAAAGCCTCAGTTTCCTCATCTGTAAATGGGG